>NC_000014.9:66581409-66884440 GCF_000001405.40 Homo sapiens | reverse complement strand
AGTCAGGGATCTGGTATTAAAGTTTGAACACTTGTTCTTTGGTGTCAGCCAAGATGGAGAAAGTAACCATAGCTTCTCTCTCCTACCGATTGTTTATAGAGTACACAGTGATTACCTGATGACGTTTAATGTAAATAATAGCAGGCAGATTTGGGACTGAAGTCAGAACTTGAATAACAGCTCTTAATGGGGCTAGGCCTAATTGTGGAGCTGCAATACCATAATGACAGTGTTAGCACCCAAAGCTCAGAGAGAAGACCTACCTATCTCTTTGGCTAATGGAAACAAAAAAAAGGAGCCGATATTGTCTAAAGAACTAAGGTAAGAGGAATCTCTTTCTCTCTTTTTTCTTTTCTTTTGCTCTTTGTCCCAAAGGTCAGTTGTGTACAACTACATAATTGCAAAGGGAGTTAATACTCTGTAAGAAACCTCTTCTGGCCAGAGTAACTGGGAATGGGGTCCCCTGGAAGCTGGAGAGTGAGGGGAAAATTCTTGAAAAGAAGAGAGCTAAAGAAGGTGGATTCTCTAATTTTGGATGTGAATTGACCCAAGTTCCAGGGTCATCCCTGAGCTGTGAATACGTGGGACAGTATAAAATAAGTACAAGAAAAGATTTTAAAACATAAACCTAGTATATACTACTGCCCAAGTCTCAAACTAACTCCTAAATCATTCATGTACTGGGCAGACACTAACAATATAGCAAAGGCTGAGCCACTACCCACAGAAAGTGAGACAGAATTTACAATCTGAACCCAATCAGATCAATTGCTAAAACTAACTAATTAAAATTCCCCAAAGGATTTTAACAGGAGTTAAATAATTTACTTACAATGCAGTGTTCAAAATGTCCAGGATACAATCCAAAATTTCTCAACATAGAACAAGGAAAATTTGACCAGTTCTCATGGGAAAAGAAATCAACCGATGTCAACCCCAAGGTAAGCCAGATATTGAAATTGTCCGAAGAATAATTTTAAGCAGTTATTATAACTATTCTCCATGACATAAAGGGCAATACTTTTGAAATAAATGTAAAAATACAAGTTCTTAGTAGAGAAATGGAAACCATTAACAAAAAAACCAAATGGAGAATTTAGAACTGAAAATATATCTGAAATAAAAACCACTAGATATTCTCAAAGGCAGAATGAAGATGAAAGAGGGGAAAAGTCAGCTAATTTGAAGATAGATCATAGAAATAACCTAAAATTAATACAGAGTAAAAAAGATTTTAAAAATTAACAGAGCCTCAGGGATTTGTGAGACATTACCAAAAAATCTAAAATTCATGTCATAGGAGCAGCAAAAAAAAGGAAATTTCCCAAATTTGGTTAAAGACATAAATTTACAGAATCATAAAGTTCACTGAACCCAGAAGGATAATCTAAAAGAAAACTACACCCAGATACATCATAATCAAATTGCTGAAACTAAAGCTGCAGAAAAAATATCTTCAAAGCAGCCAGAGAAATTTGCCATTACACATAAGGAAACAGCAATTTGAATTGATTGCTCATTTCTTTTCAGGAACCATGGAGCAAAAGAGAGTGGAATCATATTTTATTTTACTTTTTTTTTTTTAATGCTGAAAGAAAAGAACAGTCAACCCAGATTTCTGTATCTAGTGAAAATATCCTTCAGGAGTAATATGGAAATAAAGACATTTCCTAATGAAGAAAAGCTACGAAAAGGTTTCACCAGCAGACCTACTCTAAAAACAAAAACTCTAACGAAACAACCATGGTCATCACTTAAGAGTTACTACGAGTCAGTTTTCTAAGTGCTTTACATAGATTAATTCACTTTATCCAAGAAATTTGGTACTATTAACATCTTTATTATATAGATGAGAAAATGAAAACAAAAAAGACATTAACATAGAACACAAGCAATCTGTCTTCAGAGATGATGTTCTTAACCATTACTTCATAATATCTCCCAACTTACTTATATAAAAAATCTGGAGGATATTAAGTTGTCCAAATAGTAGGAAACCATTTCAAACAGACGTAATGGTTTAAACATTTGTTTTTATCTAATGCTGCTCTCTAGACATAAAAATAGGAAGGTAAGGCACCAACTTGATGCATTAATTTACCTGAAAAAAACATGCTATAGAACTATGGTAAAACACTGATTTATCCATAGTAACTGCAACAATATACATTTTTTGAGTACTTACTATGTGTCAGAATTTGTTTTAGGGGCTGAGGATGTAAAAAAGAATAAGATAAAGCTCCTGTCTTTAAGAAGTTTCTACTAACTAGGTAATACAGACAAGCAAATAATTAATTACAATATACTATGACATGTTCCATAGCAGAAGCATGTACAAAGCCAGAAGTGCATACAAAATAGAAAGGCTGTAGAAAGGAAGAACCAATCTAATGATGGCTATTATAAAAATAATAATTTTTAAAAAGGCTTTGAGAAGCACAAAAAATGAACATTCAGGGAAATATCCCCTTTTCTGTAACTAATGTAAACTACTATGTCTGTTCCAAAGTTTATAAATATATTCTTGGTTAAATCAGCAATGCACAGACAGAAAAGCCAGAAGGTGCTCCCATGCTGCTTATATGTATTAATTTTCAAAGCCTTCAGGATAAAGATGAACAACTCATTCCAAAGTAATTAGAATCAGCTCCTGCTAATTAATTTTCCATTCACTCAGCAGTCCAGTGCTAGGTAATTATGAGGATACAAAAGGGAGAAAAAAATTAATTCAGGAAAACCTTTTGATATAACAAAAAGTGATATTTCTATACTGGATCAAGAAAGCTACATTCAATTTGAAGAATTATCTTAACAGTTGCAAGAAATAATTTCTCCATTTAAACTGTGGGATCCTTAAGGAGAGGACCATTTCTTATTTTTCTTTCTAACCTTAGGATCCCTAATGCTTAATATGGGACTTGGCAAATAAGCATATTATTATGTTTACCGAATTAAAATTTTATTACAAAAGAATTAGCAAGAGAATGAAGTTTAATTCTTTCCTGATGTTATTGCTTGTATACAAGAAAGAGTTCTTTTATGTTTGAAAACTACTACTTAATTCCATAGGAAAAACGGGATCCCCTGACCTCATTGGTGTAGGTAATATAAGTAATGGTTTAAAAAAAGAACACTATGAAAGAATCAACTGGAGTTCCTTAAAGGCCAGCATGAATTTTAGCTTTAGTCTCTATCGTGGTACTTTAATTCTTTATTTGCTTTTACTAAAATTAAATGTTACAGTACACGTGACAGCAAAAAGAACATAGTAACTAATGACCCATTCATAATCTCCTGTATCTGTGCTTCAAGTGGCTGCCACTGATGGGATATAAACTTTGTCTATGTAACAGAAAGAACATTACAACTCATATTCCATAATAGTCAATGGACACATTTAATTTTATATTCATATTACACACAGGATACATAAAGGGCTATAAATTATGAAACCCTGAAACTATACAGCTGCTATTTATTTTTAGGTTGCTCTGAGATCAACTATTAATTAACGTTCATTAAATCCTTCAACAGTTTCTGACTAAGTTGACACTTCTATCTTTAACTTAAGTGATGTAATTGTCCTCATTTAGGGGATCTAAATCTAAGAGTTGCTAAAATAGTAGCAAATAAGTACCATTAAATCGAGGATGGATATCAACATCTATGTCAACAAAGGCATAGTTTTAGGTAGACTAATTTCATATAATAATAGTATATCATTAATGTAATATAATAATTAAAATATACCCAGTTGCCAAGCATTAAAAGATTAACAATATGAATTGAGCTTCTTTTTTTTCACAACAACACATCAACATAGCTATTTATAAATTGGAATATAAGCTCCTAACTTGTGAGAACAAGTTATTTTAATAAACTTGGCAGTTTAGTTTTATTAAATCAGTATTTACCTACAATTAATAGATATCAACTGATGATTATAAACAGTCACAGAAAACAGTAACTTTACATAGTAATAAACTGGATTCTCTGGGTTAGGAATTGATAACTTTTACCAGTAGTAATATGACAGTCTCTGAAAGTTTAACTTAACAAGCAACAACAACAACAACAACAACAACAACAAAAAGAAGTGAAGTGGGAAAATTGTGGCTGACAGAATACTAAAGCTCTTAACTCTGGAAAAAAAAGGGGCAAACTTAAGTGTTAAGACTAAAGTTTCTTAGGTTCATCAATATAGTGTATTGATTAGTGGTATGGAATTAACTTTTTTTTTTAACAATGATAGTAGGTAATATTTATTAAGTGATTAGTATAAGCTAAGAACTTTATGTGGACTAGCTCATTTAATATTCACAACAATGCCAAAGTGTAGATTTTTTTTAATATCACGGAAACAGTTCACCTAGCAAATGGTTTGCAACATGTTGGTGACTTTCTTACCTAGAGAGCATGCCCAGAGGTGTAACATTAAGTGATCCCATCAGCATTGCCAGGGCCATCCCTGGTGCTTCCCGTTCTATTACTTCTTTTGTGGCCTGTAATTAAAGATTAAATAGCAGACTGAGTGAAATAAGCCAAAAAAGAATGAAGTCAGACTAGTAAAACCCACTTAAAAATGATTATAAACCAGGCTTTCAATAACCATACTTTTAGTTTCTGAAACATTTATCTTTTTGAGGCATCCAGACTCAATTCACAAGGACCACTGAATAAAAGCTGAGGACCAAGAAAATAAAGAAAATTTTTATATTAGCAGTCCTTTCATATTGCTTATAGCTCAGAAGTATTTGATAGAAATCTCATCTCACTAATAACTTAAATTCTAAAAATGTGGCCTCAGATTGCTATAACAACTTAGTAGATTTCTCACCAGGTAAGTAATCTGGGTATTTTCCTTTGTCTATTACTCTTGAAATAATTAGTCTCTGAAAACCTGAGATAATCCATATCTCTCCTAGCTCTATGCTTTTATAATAGAATTAAAAGGATCTCAAGAAGTCATCATGTCAGGTTTCCCCATGTACTGGCTAGAGGAAAAATTCTACATTTACCATCTTCCTAATCTTTAGTGTAAATTAACTGTCTTTTTTTTTTCAGATTTCTCCACTTTTTTTTTTTTTAATATACTTTCAGTTCTGGGGTACATGTGCAGAACGTGCAGGTTTGTTACATAGGCGTACACATGGCATGGTGGTTTGCTGCACCCATCAACCCGTCTATATTAGGTATTTCTCCTAATGCCATCTCTCCCCTAACCCTCCATCCCCTGACAGGCCCTGGTGTGTGATGTTTCCCTCTGTGTGTCCATGTGTTCTCATTGTTCAAATCCCACTTATGAGTGAGAACATGTAGTGTTTGGTTTTCTGTTCCTGTGTTAGTTTGCTGAGAATCATGGTTTCCAGCTTCATCCATGTCCCTGCAAAGGACATAAACTCATCCTTTTTTATGGCTGCATAGCATTCCATGGTGTATATGTGCCAAATTTTCTTTATCTAGTCTATAACTGATGGACATTTGGGTTGGTTCCAAGTCTTCGCTATTGTGAATATTGCTGCAATAAACATATGTGTGCATGTGTCTTTAGAATAGGACGATATATAATATTTTGGGTATATACCCAGTAATGGGTCAAATGGTATTTCTGGGTCTAGATCCTTGAGGAATCGCCACACTGTCTTCCACAATGGTTGAATTAATTTACACTCCCACCAACAGTATAAAAGCATTCCTATTTTTCCACATCCCTATCCAGCATCTATGGTTTCCTGACATTTTAATGATCACCATTCTAATTGGCATGAGATGGTATCTCATTGTGGTTTTTGACTTGCATTTTTCTAATGACCAGTGACCCTTAGCTTTTTTACATATGTTTGTTGGCTGCATAACTGTCTTCGTTTTGAGAAGTGTCTGTTCATATCCTTTGCCCACTTTTTGATGGCGTTGTTTTTTTCTTGTAAATTTGTTTAAGTTCTTTATAGATTCTGTATATTAGCCCTTTGTCAGACAGAGACATTGCAAAAATTTTCTCCCATTCTGTAGGTTGTCTGTTCACTCTGATAATCATTTCTTTTGCTGTGCAGAAGCTCTTTAGTTTAATTAGATCCCGTTTGTCAATTTTGGCTTTTGTTGCAATTGCTTTTTGTGTTTTAGTCATGAAGTCTTTGCCCATGTTTGAATGGTATTGCCTGTTTTCTTCTAGGGTTTTTATAGTTTTAGGTCTTACATGTAAGTCTTTAATTCATCTTGAGTTAATTTTTGTATAAGGTGTAAGGAAGGGATCCAGTTTCAGTTTTCTGCATATGGCTAGCCAGTTTTCCCAATACCATTTATTAAATAGAAAATTCTTTCCCCATTGCTTGTTTTTATCAGGTTTATCAAAGAAAAAATGGTTGTAGATGTGTGGTGTTATTTCTGAGGCCTCTGTTCTGTTCCATTGGTCTATATATCTGTTTTGGTACTAGTACCATGCTGTTTTGGTTACTGCAGCCTTGTAGTATAGTTTGAAGTCAGGTAGTGTGATGCCTCCAGCTTTGTTCTTTTTGCTTAGGATTGTCTTGGCTACAAGGGCTCTTTTTGGTTCCATATTAAAGTAGTTTTTTTCTGATTCTGTGAAGAAAGTCAGTGGTAGCTTGATGGGGATAGCATTGAATCTATAAATTCCTTTGGGCAGTATGGCCATTTTCACAATATTGATTCTTCCTATCCATGAGCATGGAATGTTTTTCCATTTGTGTCCTCTCTTATTTCCTTGAGCAGTGGTTTGTAGTTCTCCTTGAAGAGGTCCTTCACATCCCTTGTTAGTCATATTCTAGGCATTTTATTCTCTTTGTAGCAATTGTGAATGGGAGTTCACTCATGATTTGGCTCTCTGTTGGTCTATTATTGTTGTATAAGAATTCTTGTGATTTTTGTGCATTGATTTTGTATCCTGAGACTTTGCTGAAGTTTCTTACCAGCTTAAGGAGATTTTGGGCTGAGACAATGGGGTTTTCAAAATATACAATCATGTCATCTGCAAACAGACAATTTGACTTCCTCTCTTCTTATTTGAATACCCTTTATTTCTTTCTCTTGCCTGATTGCTCTGGCCAGAACTTCCAATACTATGTTGAATAGGAATGGTGAGAGAGGGCATCCTTGTCTAGTGCCAGTTTTCAAAGAGAATGCTTCCAGCTTTTGCCCAATCAGTATGATATTGGCTGTGGGCTTGTCATAAATAGCTCTTATTATTTTGAGATACGTTCCATCAATACCTAGTTTATTGAGAGTTTTTAGCATGAAGTGCCGCTGAATTTTATCGGAGGACTTTTCTGTATCTGTTGAGATAATGATGTGTTTTTTGTCATTGGTTCAGTTTATGTGAGGATTATGTTTACTGATTTGCATATGTGAACCAGCCTTGCATCCCAGGGATGAAGCTGACTTGATTGTGGTGTATAAGCTTTTTGATGTGCTGCTGGATTTGGTTTAGTATTTTATTGAGGATTTATGCATCCATGTTCCTCGGGGATATTGGCCTGAAATTTTTTTTGTTGTGTCTCTCTCAGGTTTCGGTATCAGGATGATGCTGGCCTCGTAGAGTAAGTTAAGGAGGATTCCCTCTTTTTCTGTTGTTTGGAATAGTTTCAGAACAAATGGTACCAGCTCCTGTTTGTACTTCTGGTAGAATTCAGCTGTGAATCTGTCTGGTTCTGGGCTTTTTTTGGTTGGTATGCTATTAATTACTGCCTCAACTTCAGAACTTGTTATTGGTCTAGTCAGGGATTTGACTTCTTCCTGGTTTAGTCTTGGGGGGGTGTATGTGTCCAGGAATTTAACAATTTCTTCTAGATTTTCTAGTTTATTTGCATAGAGGTATTTATAGTATTCACTGATGGTAGTTTGTATTTTGGTGGGATCAGTGTGATATCCCATTTATCATTTTGTATTGTATCTATTTAATTCTTCACTCTTTTCTTCATTAGTCTGGCTAGTGTTCTATCTCTTTTGTTAATCTTTTCAAAAAACCAGCTCTTGGATTCACTGATTTTTTGAAGGTTTTTTGTGTCTCTATCTCCTTCAGTTTTACTCTGATTTTAGTTATTTCTCGTCTTCTGCTAGCTTTTGAATTTGTTTGCTCTTGCTTCTCTAGTTCTTTTAATTGTGATATTAGGGTGTTGATTTTAGATCTTTCCCATTTTCCCCTGTGGGCATTTAGTGCTATGAATTTCCCTGTAAAGAGTGCTTTAGCTGTGTCCCAGAGATTCTGGTTTATTGTGTCTTTGTTCTCATTGGTTTCAAAGAACTTATTTATTTCTGCCTTAATTTTGTTATTTACCCAGTAGTTATTCAGGAGCAGGTTTTTCAGTTTCCATATAATTGTGCGGTTTTGGGTGATTTTCTTAATCCTGAGTTCTAATTTGATTGCACTGTGGTCTGAGAGACTGTTATGATTTCAGTTCTTTTGCATTTGCTGAGGAATGTTTTACTTCCAATTATGTTCTCAATTTTAGAATACGTGTGATGTGGTGCTCAGAAGAATGTACATTCTGTTGATTTGGGGTGGAGAGTTCTGTAGATGTCTATTAGGTCTGCTTGGTCCAGAGCTGAGTGTAAGTCCTAAATATCCTTGTTAATTTTCTGTCTCGTTGATCTGTCTAACATTGACAGTGGGGTGTTAAAGTCTCCCACTATTATTGTGTGGGAGTCTAAGTCTCTTTGCAGGTCTCTAAGAACTTGATTTATGAATCTGGGTGCTCCTGTATTGGGTGCATATATATTTAGGTTAGCTCTTCTTGTTGCGTTGATCCCTTTACCATTATGTAATGCCCTTCTTTGTCTTTTTTGATCTTTGTTGGTTTAAAGTCTGTTTTATCAGAGACTAGGATTGCAACCCCTGCTTTTTTTTGCTTTCCATTTGCTTGCTAAATATTCCTCCATCCCTTTATTTTGAGCCTATGTGTGTCTTTGCACGTGAGATCAGTCTCCTGAATACAGCACATCAATGGGTCTTGATTCTTTATCCAATTTGCCAGTCTGTCTTTTAATTGGGGGCATTTAGCCCATTTACATTTAAGGTTAACATTGTTATGTGTGAATTTGATCCTGTCATCATGATGCTAGCTGGTTATTTTGCCCCTTAGTTGATGCAGTTTCTTCACAGTGTCGATGGTCTTTACAATTAGCTATGTTTTTGCAGTAGCTGGTACCAGTTGTTCCTTCCAATATTCAGTGCTTCCTTCAGGAGCTCTTGTAAGGCAGGCCTGGTGATGACAAATTGTCTCAGCATTTGCTTGTCTGTAAAGGATTTTACTTCTCCTTTGTTTATGAAGCTTAGTTTGGCCAGATATGAAATTCTGAGTTGAAAATTCTTTTCTTTAAGAATGTTGAATATTGGCCACCCACTCTCTTCTGGCTTGTTGGGTTTCTGCCGAGAGATCTGCCATTAGCTTGATGGGCTTCCTTGTGGGTAACCTGACCTTTCTCTCTGGCTGCCCTTACCATTTATTCCTTCATTCCAACGTTGGTGAATCTGATGATTATGTGTCTTGGGGTTGCTCTCCTCAAAGAGTATCTTTGTGGTGTTCTTTGTATTTCCTGAATTTGAATGCTGGCCTGTCTTGCTACGTTGGGGAAGTTCTCTTGGATAATACCCTGAAGAGTGTTTTCCAACTTGGTTCTGTTCTCCCTGTCACTTTCAAGTACAGCAATCAGAAGTAGGTTTGGTCTTTTCACACAGTCCCATATTTCTTGGAGGCTCTGTTCATTCCTTTTCATTCTTTTTTCTTTAATCTTGTCTTCATGCTTTATTTCATTAATTTGATCTTCAATCTCTGAAATTCTTTCTTTGGCTTGATTGATTCGGCTATTGATACTTGTGTATGCTTCATGAAGTTTTCGTGTTGTGTTTCTCAGCTACATCAGGTCATTTATGTTCTTCTCTAAACTGGTTATTCTAGTTACCAATTCCTCTAACCTTTTTTCAAGGTTCTTAGCTTCCTTTCATTGGGTTAGAACATGCTCCTTTAGCTCGGAGGAGTTTTTTATTACCCACCTTCTGAAGCCTACTTCTGTCAATTTGTCAAACTCATTCTCCCTCCAGTTTTGATACCTTGCTGGCGAGGAGTTGTGATCCTTTGGAAGAGAAGATGTGTTCTGGTTTTTGGAATTTTCAGCCTTCTTGTGCTGTTTTTTGGTCATCTTTGTGGATTTATCTACCTTTGCTCTTTGATGTTGGTGACCTTTGGATGGGGTTTCTGTGTGGAAATCCTTTTTGTTGATGTTGATGCTATTCCTCTCTGTTCATTAGTTTTCCTTCTAACAGTCAGGCCTCTCTGCTGCAGGTCTGCTGGAGTTTGCTGGATGTCCACTCTAGACCCTGTTTTCCTGGGTATCACTAGCAAAGGCTGCAGAACAGCAAAGATTGCTGCCAATTCCTTCCTCTGGAAGCTTCGTCCCAGAGCGGCATTCACCTGATGCCAGCCAGAGCTCTCCTGTATGACATGTCTGTCAACCCCTGCTGGGAGGTGTTTCCTAGTCAGGAGGCATGGGGGTCAGGGACCCACTTGAGGATGCAGTCTGTCCCTTAGCAGAGCTTGAGCCCTGTGCTGGGAGATCTGCTGCTCTCTTAGGAGCTGGCAGGAAGGAACTAAGTTTAAGTATGCGCCCACATCCGCCCCTTCCCACAGGTGCTCTGTCCCAGGGAGATGGGAGTTTTATCTATAAGCCCCTGCCTGGGGCTCCTGTCTTTCAGAGATGTCCTGCCCAGAGAGAAGGAATCTAGAGAGGCAGTCTGGCTACAGCAGCTTTGCCACACTGTGGTGGGCTCTGTCCAGTCCGAACTTCCAGCTGCTTTGTTTATGCTGTGAGGGGAAAACTGCCCACTCAAGCGTCAGTAATGGTGGACGCCCCCTCCCCACACCAAGCTGGAGTGCCCCAGGTCGACTTCAGACTGCTGTGCTGGCAATGAGAATTTCACACCAGTGGATCTTAGCTTGCTGGGTTCTGTGTGGGTGGGATCTGCTGAGTTAGACCAATTTGCTCCCTGGCTTCAGCCCCCTTTCCAGGGGAGTTAACAGTTTGTCTCACTGGCATTCCAGGCGCCACTGGGTTATGAAAAAAAACTCTTGCAGCTAGCTTGGTGTCTGCCCAAATGGCCTCCCAGTTTTGTGCTTCAAACCCAGGGTCCTGGTGGTGTGGGCACCCGAGGGAATCTCCTGGTCTGCGGTTTGCA
The DNA here is from genome assembly GCF_000001405.40 of Homo sapiens. Lineage (NCBI taxonomy): Eukaryota > Metazoa > Chordata > Mammalia > Primates > Hominidae > Homo > Homo sapiens. The sequence goes on along the minus strand of NC_000014.9, from coordinate 66,873,258 downwards.
AAGACTGTGGGAAAAGCATAGTATCTGGGCCGGAATGCACAGTTCCTCATGGCTTCCCTTGGCAAGGGGAGGGACTTCCCTGATCCCTAGTGCTTCCTGTGTGAGGCAATGCCTCACCCTGCTTCAGCTCACCCTCCATGGGCTGCACCCACTGTCTAACCAGTCCCAACGATATGAGCCGTGTACCTAGTTGAAAATGCAGCAATCACCTGCCTACTGCGTTGATCTTGCTGGGCGTTGCAGACTGGAGCTGTTCCTATTTGGCCATCTTGCCCAACCGTCTTTTTTAAATAAAAAATTAATGATGTGAAGGGGTTTACCTATATACTAGGAGTTTTAGGATAGGGCACCCTTTTTTTTTTTTTTTTGGGACAAAGTTTTGCTCTTTTTGCCTGGAGTGCAGTGGCACGATCTCGGCTTACTGCAAACTCCGTCTCCCGGGTTCAAGTGTTTCTCCTACCTCAGCCTTCCGAGTAGCTGTGATTACAGGTGCGCACCACCATGCCTGGCTAATTTTGTACTTTTAGTAGAGATGGGGTTTCACCATGTTGGCCAAGCTGGTCTCGAACTCCTGACCTCAGGGTGATCTGCCCACCTCATCCTCCCAAAGTACTGGGATTACAGGCATAAGCCACCATGCCTGGAGGATACGGCATTCTTAAGATAAGTACAGTTAAATCTGGAATACACTAATGAAAGGAAAATTTCATTTTCCTAAAGTCTCCTAAATTTTCCTAAAGACAAGAAAATTTCATTTTTGAAGGGTCAATCAAAATAGGTATATATTTTACTGTATAATGGTCAAGATACATTTTAGGCTAAAACTTGAGGGTGAAATACATGACTTAATCCATTTCCAGTCCTCTGTTTCCAAAAATTAAGCAAGTTATAATAGTTGGAAGCAATACAAAAATAAAGTTTGCAAAATGAAGTATTACAGTAAATAAGTAGAAAGGCAAACAAAAAGTAAATTATGAAGGTATAGAGAGAAAGGTTTATATTTCAATATTTCTTTGAAAGTAGAATGCTACTCTTCAATAAGATTGTAGCTCTGGGCAAAAGCAGTTAAAATGCATCAGGTATGTATTAGATGCTAATTGATGTTATAAATAAAGTTTAGAACGCATATAAATTAGTTAATCCCTTCCAATTATACAGAATACAGGATTAGCAGAATTGATGCAATTTACTGGTACAGTGAATCCTAGCATAACAGGATATTTAACAATGGGAGACATTTTAAAGAAAAACTAACAAAAACGTAAGGACTTTGCTGGCATTATCCCATCTTTTTTTACGTATTTAAATTTTTTTTTAAATTTTACTTTAAGCTCCGGTATACATGTGCAGAATGTGCAGGTTTGTTACATAGGTATATGTGCAATGGTGGTTTGCTGCACCTGTCAACCCGTCATCTAGGTTTTAAGCTCTGCATGTATTAGGTATTTGTCCCAATACCCTCCCTCCCCTTCCCCCTCACCCCGCCGACAGGCCCCAGTGTGTGTTGTTTTCCTCCCTGTGTCCATGTGTTCTCATTGTTCAACTCCCAGTTATGAGTGAGAACATGCAGTGTTTGATTTTCTGTTCCTGTGTTAGTTTGCTGAGAATGATGGCTTCCAGCTTCATCCATGTCATTATCCAATCTTTATTACTTATTTTCCAAAGCCAATCTATCTGTTATGATTTTGAGACTTACCAAGACGAAACACTACTTCTATGTTATAAATTGCTTTATGGAGGTTAACACCTTCTCAAGGATGTTAAAATCAGAGCCCTAAACATCAAGCAAGGGGATGTCACTGTTAACAATATTAAAGGAACTTCTTGGATAGTGTTAATATTTATTTCATTACTTGCTTGAAAAAGTTATATAAGCAATGGTTGACATTTCATGAATTCGGGGCTTCACATAAAGATGATATATCCCAAAGTATAGTAGCACACTTTATTCAGGGACATGAAGGGAAATATCAACAGATAGCTGAAAGGGAGTATTTCACTTAAAATTGATACTTCAAAGCACAACATTTATCCATTTAAATAACGAATATTTATTAAGCATCTACTATGTACTAGGTAGTATCTGAGGTATTGATGTTACAGTAGTGAGTAGAACAAACCTCAGAGAGCGTGTAAGCTCACTGTCACCCAGCACATGAAAAACTCAATTGACAAATGATACGTGAGAATTGCCTAAAAGAGATGTGGTTCATTAATTTTTCTAAATCCTCTAAAACATACCACTGGATTTTGCCAGACCACTGGAGAGTGATCTACTTTGAATGCCTCATTTCACTTTTTATAGAATTGGTTTATTGGGCTTTGCTTCTGTGGTATGAAATCAGAATCAATAAAATGGCTCAAACTCTTATTTACATTAGGAAGCATCTGAATTGTTCACCGTATTACACTGTGGTCTTTAGGAGGACCTACAGGAGAAATTTCCTTTCAAGTATCATAACTAGGAATGGATACTTTTCTATGTTACCAGTTTGTTTTTAAATTACAATGCTTGTGAATCAAGTTATCCTTGAGAACAAATTTGTGAATACCTTTCAGTAGGCTTACTGAACACAACTTTAGTTTCATCTGATTTTTCTCTGTCCTACTCTTCACATTTATATTTTTAAAAATTCTGTTGTATTTATGTATTTGGGTAAGCCATCTAAAATATTTTTCAGGGTATAAAAATATATAGATGGATGGATCACAGTGTAGGTACAGTTGCTCTCCATATTGCTGGTTCAACATCTGTGGATTCAATCAACTGAGGATCGAAAATACAGTAGTTAGGGGTTCTGCAGGGCTGACTGTATTCTTTACAAAGTTCTTCATCTTTCTCTAAACATAATTCAGGCAGGACAGTTAATTCTTTCTGAAGATCTTCTGAAGAATTTGGGCATAGAGACACAAACCTTATATGTTTTAGAACATAAAAGAAAAAATATATCATGGTGATGCCACTGAAAGGCATTGATGCTGATGGTGGTGAGTTGGTTGGGGTAGGTGGATGTCAGACTCTCTATGCTAGATACAAACTGTTCTTTTCAATAGGGTATTCTTAAATCAAGCACAAACACAGTCTTTCTCACGTTTGTATCAAACATTTTACATAAAACATTAGAACCCTTCTATTTTCCTTTTATTTTCTCTTCCTCTTAAGCTGTTTGGTGTAGTAAAAGATCATCATCTATGAAGTCAGAAAATGACATTACACAGTTAAGGGCAATAACAATAGGAGCTGGATCTATTTCAGCATCTAGTTCGGAGCCCAACATATAGTATGTGCTCAACAAATATTTGTTGAATAAAGAAGTGAAGGAATAAATAAACCAATCTAGATGTGAAACTTGGCTTTACTATGTAGTTTTGCTATGTGAATTAGAATAAAATATTTAACCTAAGTTTCCAGAGTACTTATGAATATAATGGAGGTAATAATAAAACATACCTACATCTTATAAGAGGGCTCTGAGAACTAAATGATAAATCACTTAGCATAGAATAGGTATTCAATACATGTTAGCTCTTTCTATGCTTCTACTTTCCAATTCTTCTTACATCCTTGCAGTTCTGCACATATCAGTTAGAGAACAGAAATAATACAAAAATCCAGAAACTACCTGCAAAGAGTAGTAGAGAACCAAAGACTAGGAAAAAGAGAATGGAGAGCAAGAACCCAGATGCAAGAGCACTGGCAAATGCCACGTAGGAAGTAGAATACTGAAATTAGGGATCTAAACTAGGGAGCAGGCAGCGAATGAGATGGGGACTGGAAGATGGACAAGAGAGCAAGAGCTGAGTACAAAGACCTGTAAACTATAAATGGGGAGATGCAACTAGAAAACAAAGAATAAGAGAATAAAACTTAATTACAAATATAACAAGAGAAAGATACCTGTTTATTAGAAAATCTGAACAGAAGAATGGTTTGAAGAATGTAGCTTTATCACTTTCAATCACATATGCTAGTACAATACAGACAAATAAAGGTTATCTGTATCTGTTAATGAATAGATAACACAAGTATTCATTATTAACAGACTGTTCATTATCAATGGCAAAAAGATGCCATTAAAAGCTTGAAACCATTTTTTCCTTAACTAGCTTAAAGTTCTGTTTCCCTCTTATACATTATTAATTTGATTACCAGATTCTTTTATTCCTTGAAAGATGGTAGAAATTTATAGTCTTACTTCAGGTATCAGTATTTCTGAACTAGTCGGTCTAAAATATAAAGGTTTAATTGGACTTAGCTATTCTTTTTAAATAAAATATTTATCTTTGACGTCTAAATATTTTTCCAATATGAAAGTTGCAAACTTCTGTGAAAAATCACATAATTGTGATCTTTTCCTTTTTTTTTCTTGATACTTTGAGGACAACATTAAAGTCAGAAAGACGCTTCAAAGACTGCTAAGCTGTAAAAACAGTGTCAAAAACAATGATTCAGTAATTCAGGTATCTTGTTGATGAAATTGTTCATATTTTAACTTCATAGGAAAAATGACCTTAAAAAAGATATTGCTAACAGACAATGATGTTTAAAAATGTACAGAACATATGGTTGGGCATGGTGGCTCATGCCTGTAATTCCAGCACCTTGGGAAGCCAAGGTGGGCGGATCACTTGAGGTCAGGAGTTTGAGACCAGCCTGGCCAACATGGTGAAACCCTGTCTCTACTAAAAATACAAAAATTAGCCCGGCGTGGTGGCATGCCCCTGTAGTTCCAGCTACTCAAGAGCCTGAGGTAGGAGAATCGCTTGAACCCGGGTTGCAGAGGCTGCAGTGAGCCGAAATCGTGCCATTGAACTCCAGTCTGGGCAACAGAGTGAGACTCTGTCTTAAAAAAACCCGTAAAGAACATATAATAGATATATCTAAATGTGCAGAAATACTTTACATGCATAGTGACTCTGTGAAAAATCACTTAGTATAGTGCTTTCACTTATTTTTATAGACATGATTTTATTAACAGAGCAGACAAATTTATATATTAGTACTCATGTGCTTGTAACCTGATTAGGTAGATTTAATAAAATTTCCTCCTTAACAATTACTGCAGTGCCCTCTGCTGATTAAATAATCTTAAATAAATAACAAAGACTATCTTTGAAATACCAGCTAATGACTACTATTAATAATAACTTTGTTAAGTTATCAAAGTGAGATGTAGTTAGAGCAGTGTTTCTCAAACTTTAGTGTGCATCAGAATCTTCTAGAAGCCTTGTTAAAATACAGATTGCTGGGCCCCACTTCCAGAGATTCTGATTCAGAATGTCTAGGTGCCTCAAAATTTACATTTCTAACAAGTTTCCAGGTGAAAATTTACATTTCTATCAAGTTTCCAGGTGACGCTTCTGATGCTGGTCAGAAGACCATACTTTGAAAAACATACTGCTGATGGAAGGAATGATGTAGATTAATGACAATATGTACCATTTGGTCTTATCTTTATAATCACTTTATGTTCAACTTTGTAGACTGACATAAATGTGAGAATCCTTCATCAGAACAGAATATAGATTTAGTGAGGAGATAAATTAGGTAAAAATAGGCAGTTTAATGCCAGCCAGTTACATTTTCCTGACTTCTGCTTATTAAAGGACAAACACATTAATTTCATTTTACATTTTTAAAAAGGGTTATAATAAACTAACAATTCTGAGGCTGCTCCTATAAGTATTCTATGGTACAGAGTAGGTATCCTTAAAATATTTTTCTTGGGACATCATGTAGTGGATAAAAGTTACATCCACGACAAACTCCCAAGGATGTTCAAGGAGTACTTGTTATAAATCTATTTTTTTCTCATTCAAGAAACAGAGCAGAACGGAAGTAAGAGTCACATTATTGTAAAAGCAGTCTCGAATTTAGTCTAATTAATTAAAACCATTCATTTACAGATTTTATTTTTATTTTAGTTACAAACAACTTTCAAACAATCATAACCACATCAACTTATAATAATACAACCAAATGGTCAAAGACTACTGCTACACAGAGAAGATGCAATCTGGAAATCAAGGTAATTGTAAAAGGCATCTCACTTTTACTTGAGAGATATTATCTTATTGCTAATGAACATCTTTTCTTGGGGTTTTAATATTCTTAAATATTTACATCTTCTTCAATTCCTGGAAGAAGCAGATAACGTTTCATGTGAAGAGAAGATGCTCCATTTTTTTTTTCAGTTCAAATTGTACAATATTTAAATAAGATCTGGTTGTGATGAAAGGTCAAAGGAGACAGTACCATGGTAGGAAGGACACAGGAAGAAAAGAGTACAAATTTACATACTGCAGGCATTTTGTTTTCCATTCCATTCAATGAACATATACTTTGCAGTGAGCATGAAATGGTGTCTGAGTTGGTAGTTTTCACAGTTTACCTCAGTTCCAATGGTTAATGAATTGCTGTGCCAGCTAAGGTTCTAATGTTTAAAGGTAATTATTCCTCTTTATAAAGCATGCCAACCAATTTACCTAATTCAACCAAAGAATTTATTTCAATGCTGGGGTAAAAACTGGTTGTTTGGCTTACTGAGATTAATATGTATTTGAAAGATTTTCAAGTTTTTTTCACTTTAACTATGAAAAATCTCACTGTATTTGCTAACATTTAGATCCCAACCCCTGTTCAAGAACCAACTCAAGTACATAGCAGTGAACACTCGTTAGCATCACAACTTTTCTCTTTACATATTATTTTTCAATAACTTTTATCTAAACATTAATCTGATAATTAAATTATCTAACCATAAAACTTGGGCACTCAGGTGAACAAATCACTTTTTATAAGAGATTTTCATGAGAATACGTATCTTCATATTCCACTTATATAAACAGTACTACTTTGTATCTCATTCCAGGAAAAGATGAAAGAATATTGATATTCCTATGGATTGTTAACATTTTTATATATGGAATATGTATGTATTCGTTAATGGTAGAATATTGGCTAGGTATGTCTTTCAACCTACGTTAAAAAAAAGAGTTACTCATTCCTGTTCTTCAGAAGTTGATATGTAGATATGGAGGAAAAAAGTTCAGGAAATCTAATGCATAATATGGTGACTATAGTTAATAATACTATACACCCTAGGATTGGGATTGTTTTTCAGGTTTGGACAACAGGCAACTGAAAAGTGACTTTATTAGGGCAGCTGGTGGGAGTGGGGTAGAAGAAACTGGTTGTATCTACTGGCACCAACCACACTTAATTACCTGGTCAGAATGGGTAGAAATGACTACCCCCACTAACACACACATACGTAAAAACACTACTGAGACTGCACATTTATACATTTCCTCCTTTGATGCTACCTTGATGTTCAATGTTATGCTTTCAAAGTTATACACTTAAGAGTGTCTCAGGTAATAAAAGAGCCAAGCCAAACTTAAGAATTAATCAACAAAAATTATTTAAAAATTTAGGCTTCCAAAATAAACTTGAAAGATTTTGTAAGCAGGCAATACTATTTTATATTGAGATGATTATGAATAACCTAAACTCAGATCCTCTCTTCCATTTCTTTTCACAGAATAAAAATTAAGTATCCAAGAGAAGAGGGTATTCAAATCAGGAACAATAAATGCGATAGATGGAAACTGACATTTTACTCAACACTGTAATAAGGACATATATAGGCTTCTTCTGTACCTAATCAGGTTTGCTTCTAAGAAAGCACAGAAAACAAAGAAATGCTTCATATCTCTATGAAGAGTATGTTATCTCCTGATCTCTCAGGGTTTTCTTTCCTGGTTTTAATTTTTTTTGTATTAACACAAATTGCCCAGAGACTATCAGACTTTTTGTAATCTTCTTTGAATAATTTAGTTTAAAAAATTTGAAAAATTTTTAATTTTCCTGGGTATGCAGTAGGTACTGCATAAATTTGGGAAGTACATGAGACACTCTGATAAAGGCATGCAATGCATAATAATCACATCATGGTATATGGAATATCCATCCCCTCAAGCATTTATCCTTTGTGTTAGTCAATCCAATTATATTTTTTATTTAAAAATATATAATTAAATTATTATTGACTACAGTCATCCTGTTGTGCTATCCAATACCAGGTTTTACTCATTTTTTTCTAACTACTTTTTATACTTAGTCCCCTTACTTCCCCACTACCATCCTCAGCTGGTAATCATCCTTCTACTATATATCTCCATGCGTTCAGTTGTTTTCATTTTTAGCTCACACAAATGAGTGAGAACATGTGAAGTTTGTCTTTCTGTGCCTGGCTTCACAAACATAATGACCTCCAGTTTCATCCATGTTGTTGGAAATAACAGGTTCTTATTCTTTATATGGCCAAATAGAATTCCATTGTGTAGATGTACATTTTCTTTATCCATTCATCTGCTGATGGACACTTAGGTTGATTCCACACCTTGGCTATTGTGAACAGTGCTGCCAGAAACATGGGAGTGCAGATATTCCTTGGAAATACTGAGTTCCACTTTTTTTTTTTGAGACAGAGTCTCGCTCTGTTGCCCAGACTTGAGTGCAGTGGCACAGTCTCGGCTCACTGCAATCTCCACCCGCTGGGTTTCAGTGATTCTCCTGTCTCAGCCTCCCGAGTAACTGGGATTCCAAGCATGTGCCACCATGCCCGGTTAATTTTTATATTTTTAGTAGAAACAGGGTTTTACCATGTTGGCCAGAATGGTCTTGAACTCCTGACCTCAGGTGATCTGCCTGTCTTGGCCTCCCAAAGTGCTGGGATTACAGGCATGAGCCACCGCACCTGGCCTTGATTTCCATTCTTTTGGGTACATAACCAGCAGTGGGAATGCTGGATCATATGGTAGCTCCATTTTTAGTTTTCCAAGAAACCTCCAAACTGTTCTCCATGGTGGTTGTACTAACTTAACATTCCTACCAATGGTGTACAAGGGTTCCCTTTTCTCTAGTCCTCACCAGTATTTGTTATGCCCTGTCTTTCGGATAAAAGCCATTTAATTGGGGTGAAATGATATCTCATTGTGGTTTTGATTTGTAGTTCTCTGATAATCAATGATGCTGAGTATCTTTTCATAGTCCTGTTTGCCATTTGTACATCTTCTTTTGAGAAATGTCTATTCAGATCTTTTGCCCATTTTTAATTGGATTATTAGATCTTTTTCCTATAGAGTTGTTTGAGCTTCTTACATATTCTGGTTATTAATCCCTCGTCAGGTGGGTAGTTTGCAAATATTTTCTCCTATTCTGTGGGTTCTCTCTTCATTTTGTTGATTGTTCCTTTGCTCTGCAGAAGCTTTTAAATTTGTAATCCCATTTGTCCATTTTTGCTTTGGTTGCTTGTGCTTATGAGATATTACTCAAGAAATTTTTGCACAGACCAATATCCAGGAGAGTTTCCTCAATGTTTTCATGTAATGGTTTCACAGTTTTGAGGTCTTAGATTTAAGTTTTTAATCTACTGTGATTTGATTTTTGTATGGCAAGAGATAGGGGTCTAGTTTCATTCTTCTGCATATAAATATTCAGTTTTCCCAGCACCATTTGTTGAAGAGACTGTCTTTTCCTGAGTGCATGTTCTTGACATCTTTGTCAAAAATGAGTTCACTGTAGGTGTATAAATTTATTTTTAGATTCTCTATTCTGTTCCATTGGTCTATGTGTCTGTTTTTATGCCAGTACCATGCTGTATTAGCTACTATAGCTCTATAATATACTTTGAAGTCAGGTAATATGATTCCTCCAGTTTTGTTCTTTTTGCTTAGGATAGCTTTGGTTATTCTGGGTCTTTTGCGGTTCCTGATAAATTTTATGATTTTTTTTCTCTTTCTGTGAAGAATGTCATTGGTGTTTTGATAGGGATTGCATTGAATCTGTAGATTGCTTTGGGTAGTATGAACATTTTAACAATATTAATTTTTCCAACCCATGAACATGGAATAACTTTCCAGTTTTTGGTGTCCTCTGCAATTTCTTTCATCAGTTTTACAGTTTTCATTATAGAGATCTTTTACTTCTTTAAGTTAATTCCTAGGTATTTAATTTTCTCTGTGGCTATTGTAAATGGGACTTTTTTTTTTTTCTTTTTCAGATTGTTCACTGTTGGCATATAGAAATGCTACTGATTTTTGTATGTTGATTTTGTAACCTGCCACTTTACTGAATTTGCTTCTCAGTTCTAATAGTTGTTTGGTGGAGTCTTTAGTTTTTTTCTAGATATAATATCATATCATCTGAAAACAAGAATAATTTGACTTCTTCCTTTCCAATGTGGATGCCCTTTATATCTTTCTCTTCTCTGACTGCTGTAGCTGGGACTTCCAGTAGTACGCTGAATAATAGTGCTGACAGTAGGCATCTTTGTCATGTTGCAGATCTTAGAGGAAATGCTTTCAGTTTTTCCCATTTCACTATGATACCAGATGTGGGTCTGCTGCATATAGCTCTTATTATGTTGAAGGATGTTCCTTCTACACCCAGTTTTTTTGAGGATTTTTATCATGCAGCAAGTTTGAATTTTAGCAAATGATTTTTCAGCATCAAGTAAAATGATCATATAGTTTTTGTCCTTCATTCTGTTGATAGGATGTATGATGTAGGTTGAACCATCCTTGTACGCTTGCCAAGAATCCCTTTTGGTTATGAGAATGATCTTAATGTACTGTTGAATTTGGGTTGCTAGTATTTTGTTGAGGATTTTTGTATCAATATTCATCAGAGATATTGGCCTGTAATTTTCTTTTCTTTTCTTTCTTACATGTCTTGGCCTGATTTTGGTATCAGGGTAACACTGGTCTCATAGAATGAGTTTGGAAGTATTCCCTCCTCCTTGTATTTCGGAATACTTTGAGTAAGATTGGTATTAGTTCTTCCTTAAATGTTCTGTAGAATTCAGCAGGGAATTGGATCTCAGGCTTTTCTTCACTGGGATACTTTTTTTTACAGCTTCAATCTTGATATTTGTTATTGCTCTGTTCAGGTTTTGGATTTCTTTGTGGTTAAGCCTTGATAGGTTGTATCTGTCTAGAAACTTGTCCATTTCTTCTGGGTTTTCTAACTTTTTGGTATATAGTTGCTCATAGTAGCCACTAATGATTATTTGACTTTATGCAGTATCAATTGTAATGACTCCTTTTCCATTTTTGATTTTGTTTATTTGTATCTTCTCTCCTTTTTTCTTAGTTATTCTGGTTAAAGGTTTGTCAATCTTGCTTAACTTTCCAAAAAACAAGCTTTCCAGTTTGTTGATCTTTTTGTATTTCCTTCATTTCAAATTCATTTATCTCTGTTCTGATCGTTATTCTTTCTTTTCCTCTACTACTTTTGGGTTTTGTTTGCTCTTGCTTTTCTAGTTCTCTGAGATGCATCATTAGGTTATTTATTTGAATTTTTTCCTTTTTTTGATGTAGGCACTTATAGCTATAAAATTCCCTCAGTACTGCTTTTGCTGTGTCCCATATGTTTTGGTATGTTTGGCATATTTGGTCATTTGTTTCAAGAAAATTTTCAGTTTCCTTAATTCCTTCATTGACCCATTGATCATTCAGGAGCATCTTGTTTAATTTCCACGTGTTTGTATAGTTTCCAACATTCCTCGTTATTGATTTCCAGTTGTATTCCATTGTGGTCAGAAAAGATGCTTGCTATCATTTCAATTTTTTTGAATGTTTTGAGGCTTGTTTTGTGACCCAACATATGGTCTATCCTTTAGAATTATCTCTGTTCTGAGGAGAATAATGTGTATTCTGCCACCATTGGATAAAATATTCTGTAAACATCTATTAGGTCCATTTGTTCTATAGTGCTGATTAAGTCTGATGTTTCCTTGTTGATTTTCTGTCTGCATGATCTGCCTAATGCTGAAAGTAGGGTGTTGAAGTCTCCAGTTATTATTGTATTGGAATCTATCTCTCTCTTTAGCTCTAATAATATTTTCTTTATATATCTGTATGCTCCAGCATTGGGTTCATTGCTGAATTCACCCTTTTATCATTATATAATGACTTTGTCTCTTCTTACAGTTTTTGTTTAGAAAACTATTTTGCCTTAGCTACTCCTGCTCTTTTTTGGTTTCCACTGGCATGGAATATCTTTTTCCATCTTTTTATTTTCAGTTTATATTTGTCTTTACAGGTGAACTGTGTTTCTCACAGGTAACAGAACATTGAGTCTTGTTTTTTCATTCATTCAGCCACTCTGTCTTTTGATTTGAGAGTTTGGTCCATTTATAATTCAATGTTATTATTAAGTAAAGGGCTTACACCTGCCATTTTGTTACTTGTTTTCTGGTTGTTTTGTGGTCTTCTCTTCCTTCTTTTCTTCCTTCCCGTATTCCTTTTTGTGGAAGTGATTTTCTCTGGTGGTATGTTTTAATTTCTTGCTTTATATATTTTTTTGTAGCTATTGTAGGTTTTTTTGATTGGAAGTTACCATGAGGCTTGCAAATACTATAACACATTATTTTAAACTGATGACAACATTGATTGCATATAGAAACAAATAAGCAAAAAGAAAACTCATAAAAATGCTACACTTTAATTGTGTCCCCGCTTTTTAACTTTTTGTTGTGTCTCTTTATGTCTTATTACGTCTTGAAAAGTTGTTGCGGTTATTATCGTTGATTCGTTTATTATTTAGTCTTTCTGCTTGAGATAAGAGTAGTTTACACACCACAATCACAGTCTTAAAATATTCTGTTTTTCTGGGTGCTTACTACTACCAGTGAGTTTTGCACTGTCAGATGATATTTTTTATTGCTCATTAGCATCCTTTTCTTTAAGACTGAAGAACTCCCTTTAGTATTTCTTGTAGGATAGGTTTGGTGTTGATGAAATCTTGGTGTTGATGAAATCTCTTAGCTTTTGTTTGTCTGAGAGTCTTTATTCTCCTTCATGCCTGAAGGATATTTTCACCAGATATACTGTTCTAGAGCAAAACTTTTTTCCTTCAGCACTTTAAATATGTCATGCCACTTTCTTTTGTCCTGTAAGTTTTCCACTGAAACCTCTGCTGCCAGATGTAGTAGAGCTCCGTTGTATGTCATTTGTTTCTTTTCTCTTGGTGCTTTTAGGATTCTTTCTTTATCCTTGAATTTTGGGAGTTTAATTATTCACATGCCTTGAGGTAGTCTTTGAGTTAAATCTGCTTAGTGTTATCTATAACCTTCTTGCACAATGTTGATATTTTTCTCGAGGTTTGGAAGTTCTCTCATATTATCCCTTTGAATAAAGTTTCTACTCCTATCTCTTTCTTTACCTCCTCTTTAAGGCCAATAACTCTTAGATTTACCCTTTTGAGCCTATTTTCTACATTTTGTAGGCATACCTCATCCTTTTTTATTTTCTTGTCTCCTCTAACTGTGTATTTTCAATTAGTCTTTCTTCAAGCTCACTAATTCTTTCTTCTGATTGATCGATTCTGCTATTAAGAGACTGATGCATTCTTGGGTGTGTCAATTGCATTTTCCATGTCTAGAATTTCTGTTTGTTTCTTTTAAATTATTATTTCAATCTCTTTGCTAAGTTTATCTGACAGAATTCTGAATTCCTTCTCTGTGTTATCTTGAATTTGAGTTTCCTCAAAATATCTATTTTGAATTCTCTATCTAAAAGATCACATATCTCTGTTTCTTCAAGCTTATTCCCTAGTGCCTTATTTAGTTTGTAGTGTGAGGTGATGTTTTCCTGGGTGATCGTGATACTTGTAGATGTTTGTCAGTGTTTCTGGCATTGAAGAGTTAGGTATTTATTAGCTTTCGCAATCTGGGCTTGTTGGCACCTGTCTCTCTCAGAAAGGCTTTCCAGGTATTTGAAGGGACTTCGGCCCCAAGCCCAGTAATGCTATAGTTCTTGCAGACTTGCAGAGATACCACTTTGGTGGTCTTGGTTAAAGTCCAGAAAAATTATCTGTATTACCACACAGAGACTCTTGTTCTCTTCTCTTATTTTCTCCCAAACAAATGGAGTCTCTCTCTGTGCTGTGCTTCCGGAGCTGGGGATGGTGGGTTGATACAAACACCAGTGGCCATCACCAGTAGTATGGGTCAGCTGGGTCAGACCTGAAGCCAGCACAGCACTGGGTCTTACCCAAGGCCTACTGTAACCACTATCTGGCTGCTGTCTATGTTCAATCAAGGCACTAAGGCTGTACGATTAACAGATGTGAAGTCAGACAGGCTTGTGTCCTTCCCTTTAAGGTGTTGAGTTATCCCAGCCCAGGGTAGGTCCAGAGATGCTGTCTGGGAGCGAGGGACTGGAATTAAAAAAAACCTTAGACATTTACCTGGTGTTCTATTTTACTGAAGCTGAGTTGGCACTCAAATCATGAGACACAGTCCTTCCCACTCTTCCCTCTATTTTCCACAGGCAGAGGAGCCTCACCTTATGGCCACCACCACAACAGACCCAAGGGGAGTACTGTCAGGCTAACACTGATGTTTCCTTTAGGCCCAAGGGCTCTGCAGTCAGTTTGTGGTGAATGCTGCCAGGCATGGGACTCACTCTTCAGGGCAGTGGACTCCCCTGTGGCCCAGGGCAGGTTCAGAAATGCTGTCCAAGCTCCAAGGCCTGAAATCAGGTCCCCAAGAGCCCACTTGGTGCTCTACTCCCCTAAGGTGCAAGACAAAATCCCCTTTACTTTTTCTCTGCTTTTCTCAAGCAGAAAGAGTCTCTCACGATAGCTATCAAAGCTAGGAATGTGCTGGGTCTCACCTGAAGCCAGCATGTCTCAGAGGCTCACCTAAGGCACATGGCATACTATATGGGTATCACTGCTGGACCTTGGAGGATCCAAGGTCTCTTTAGTCAAAAGTTGATGCATCTTGCCAGGACTGAGTCCTTCCCTTCAAGGCAACAGGTTCCCTTCTGGCCCAGGGTGTGTTTAGAAATGTTGTCCGGGAGCTAAGGCCTGGAAAGGGGGCCTCATGACTCTGCCTGGTGTCCTATCCTACTGTGGCTGAGCTGGTTTCCAAATGCAAGACAAAGTCCCCTTTACTGTTCCCTCTCCTCAAGCAGAAGCATGGGGTCTCTTTTGGAGCTGTGAGCTATGTGGCCTGAGGCATGGGGAAGGGATGGTGCAAGCACTCCTTTAGCTGTCCTGGCTGGTGTCTTAGTAGGTCATGTGCCCCCACGTCCCACTGTATCTGAGCCCAGGTCAGCACTAGGACTTGCCCAAGAATTGTAGTTCTTGGAGCGCAGACTGCCTTTCAAATTTATTTTGGGCTGCAAAGGACTTTAGCCTGTGGTGGCAAGGCTTGCCAAAACTCACTTTCCAATCGCAGGGATTAGTGGTTCCCCTCTGTGTAGGGCTGGTCCAAATGGTCCCTCTATGGGCAGTATTCAGTTGAGTTAAGCCTGGTGTTGCTTTCTGCTGTGACAGGGCAGCACTGTGTCCAATGCTACGTCTCACAATCACTGTGCTGTTCCTCTCCCAAATGCACAGATTCTCTCTCCATGCCATGCAGCCAGTTGCTGCTGGGGTATGACTGGGGAGGGGTGGTGTTGGTAATTCAAGACTGTGTTTCCTATCCCTTTCAGTGTCTCCTTCAGCAACATGAAGTTAAAACCAGGTACTATAACTGCTCATCTGTTTTTTGGTTTTGATAAAGATGCTTTTCTTCTGTGGAGAGTTGTTAAGTTTGGTGTTCCTGTTTGGGGTATGACTGGTGGAGCCTTTTATTTGGCCAACTTGCTTTACTCCCTCTTTATCTCTATTCTTGAAAGATATTTTGCTTAATAAACAATTCTCGTTATTTCCTTCAATGCTTTACATGTTCTATTGTCTGTTTTATTCCAATGTTGTCGAAAAGCCTGCTGTCATTTCTACGTAAGTGATCTGCTGTTTCTCCCTGGTTACTTTCAATAGTTCCCTTACTTTAGTGCTGACATTTCATTCCCATGTGTTCAGAAACATATTTCTTTTATTTATCCTTCTTGAGATACACTATACCGTTAGGATTTCTGGATTTGTGTTTTTTCATTAGTTCTGTAAACTTTATAGTCATTATCTCTTTGATCATTGCCTTTATTCTTTCTATTTTTTCCTTTTGGGGCTCTGATATAATGTACTTTGGACCTTCTCATTTCATTCTTCATATCTTTTCTCATATTTCCATCATATAATCTCTCTATGTAATTATATCATTACATTCAAATTTTTGACACATATTACTGACTGCCCAAACTGTCTGTGCTGGTTAGACTTTCTAGAACAAATAATGGTGACTGTAACTATCTTTTTCTTTTTTCTGTCTTTAGTAAGAATTTATCCAGTGTTTCAGCTTTATTGTATTTGTTGGTTTTTGTGATAAACACATTTTACCATGTTTAAAATTTTTCTTTCATTCTAGTTTACTATGTATCCTTAGAAGGAAAAAAATACACTGAATTTTATGTCTTTTTGGCATACATCAAGATGACCATATAATCTTTTGTGATTTACCTAATAATGATAAAAATGAAATTAAAGGATGTCTAAAATTTACCGTTCTTGAATTCTTAAAATCAGTTTCGCTTAGGAAGAGGTGTACATTTAGAAAAAACTTGATGCTGTATCAAGTTTTTGCATATTATTTCAATATTTCTACATATATTTTCACATATGATTAGGTCTATAGTCTCCTTGTTATTTTTATTCCACTTTGGTATGAAGGTTTTGTTATCTTTATAGATTGAGTTCAGATGTTTTCTTCATCCTGTGTTTAGATACAATTTAAATAATGAGGAAATAAGACAGGAATTATCTGTTCTTTAAAGTTTTAATTGAACTCATAAACGCTACTCTTCTATTTACTATCTCACTCTTCCTTCTCTCTGTTGTAGAATTCTGCAATAGCTACTTTATCAACTGACAGATATGGGGAATCAAGGTGTTTCTCTATTGAATCACTTTTCACTTTAATTTGGAGACAAATAATAATTTCAGGATGCAACACTAGCATATGAATTTTCTACAAATTCTAAAGTTTATTTTTACCTGGAAATATAAATTGTTTGAATTAGCACAGAGTTGAGATCACCTCCAATATACATGAATAGCACAAAATCAAACCCATGTTCCCACATCTTAACTTCCATATGGCAAGTTATTTTTTTAAACCAAAGTTACTCATCAGCAAAGAACAGTTAGTTGCCTTACATTTGAACTGTTATAAGGCCTCGCATATTTTACTGAATTCACTTTTTTTAAATCAAAAAGTACTGTTTGATGAAGGCCCACAAGCCTAAAAGATCTCTTCATCAATACTAGTGTTGTTTGGATATAAAAGATACCTGTCAGAAATAATTAATAAAAAGCAATATTGTATGTGGTTATATTGTGAATGTTAGGATATCTTTACAGGATAAAAGAAAATGGTAAGTGTCCTAATGTTAGGCAAATGGCTACTTCAGGCTTGGAATAACATTTCCAGTAATATCTTTAAATAGAAAAATTTTAAATTCCATGTATTCATAATTAAGCAGTAAGAATGAACTCGTACCTCACACCACATACAAAAATGAACTCAAAATAGATCTATAGTATAAAGAACTATAGTTCTTTATCTATAGTATAAGAACTAAAACCATAAAACTCTTAAACAGTTTAATTTCTTAAGATGTGAAACACAGAATTGCCATATGATCCCACATTTCCATTCCTAAGTGCATAACCAATGGAAATGAAAGCAAGAACTTGAACATATACTTGTTTGCCAATGTTCACAACAGCACTATCCCCATAGCCAAAAGATGAAAACAACCCAGGTGTTCATCAAAAGATGAACGGATAAATGAATTGTGGTATTACATATAATAGAATATTATTCAGGCATAAAAAGCAATAAAGTTCTGATATATACTACAACATGCATGAACTGAGAAGACATTAGGCTAAATGAAAAAAGCCATGCACAAAAGGAGAATTATTGTGTGGCTGCACTTACATGAAATATTTACAATAGGAAAATTTATAAAGATAGAAAGTAGATTAAAGGTTACCAGGGATTATGGGAAGGAAGAAATGGGGAGTTATTGCTTAAAGGTTACAGAGTTTCTGGGGTGATGAAAAAGTTTTAAAAACAGGTAGTAGTGATAATTGTACAACATTGTGAATATAATTAATACCAATGAACTGTACACTTAAAAATGGCTAAATTAGGGCCAGGCACGGTGGCTCATGCCTATAATCCCAACACTTAGGGAGGCTGCGGTGGGCAGATCACCTAAGGTCAGGAGTTGGAGGCCAGCTTGGCTAACATGGTGAAACCCTGTCTCTACTACAATACAAAAATTAGCTGGGCTTGGTGGCACGCACCTGTAATCCCAGCTACTCAGGAGGCTGAGGCAGGAGAATCGCTTGAATCCGGGGGGCAGAAGTTGCAGTGAGCTGAGATCGTGCCACTGCACTCCAGTCTGGGTGACAGAGTGAGACTACGTCTCAGAAGAAAAAAAAAAAAAAAGGCTAAAATAGCAAGTTTTGTGCTATACATATTTTGCCACAATTTAGAAAATAAATGTAATATACCAAAAACCATTAAATTTTACACTTTCAATGAATGAATTGTATGATATGTGAATTATATCTCAATAGAGCTGTTAAACAAAAGATGATATAGCATGGAAAACTTTTAAATTACTTAGACTCTGGAAATGATAATAAAGACATTGATGTTAATGGTATATGTTGAGACTTTGCATAACACCTTTCAAAAAATTGCCATGAAAAAGAATCAGTTGTCCTAAATAATATACTATTTTCAATGTGGCTTTAAATTTATATTTGTGTTTTAAATTAGTTAACCTAAGTGTTCCACTATTTTATCTAAATTGCTAAAAGTATGTACATTTAAGATGGATAATCCCCCCATTTATGGATCTTCTCATTGGGAAAATAGGTGTCTCATATTATAGTTGCTGTCATCTTCCATTCAGGCATATGCAGTTAATAGCTTAGACAAAAAAGAAAGGGTACTATTCTTCCCATTTTTCCATTATTTGGGATAAAAGGAATGTGAACTTGAAATGAGGTTTGAGTTATTGGACTCATGACTGAAGGGTATTGAGACTGAAGATTACACTAATGATACCTGGCTACTCCTGTGATGGCAACATTTAGATAAGAATGATTTGCAGTGATTAGATAGGTTATTTTGTTCTTTGATTTTAACAAATATTCGGGTTAAGGGACTAAATCTTTGCCACAACTAATACTTTTAATTCTTTCTCACTTAAAACTAGTAAAGTCTCAATATTTTCTTGATTGAATACAAGATGATGTCAAAGTACTTTTAAAAGTTTCTCATTTGTTGATTTTAGGACTTCATTTGGTGATAAAATGATATGATAAGGAATATGGCAGATAAACTAACGGCAAAATAGAAAAAGAACTCTTGCTTCTAGCTAATTGCCATGCTTTTAATACTCTCAAGGATCCTTCAGTAAAAACTCAAATTATGGAGGTAAAAATACAGTGCCAAAATCTGTTTTTGATAAAACTGATGAAGAAAAGTAGAAGCAAATACAAAGCAAGGTAGCTCCTTGATTCTTTAAATTTTTGCCATTATAGTATGATATGGTTTGGCTGTGCCCCTACCCAAATCTCACCTTGAATTGTAATAATCCCCTTGTGCCCTGGGCGGGGCCAGGTGGAGATAATTGAATCATGGGGGTGCTTCCCCCATTGGTTCTTGTGGTATTGAATAAGTCTCATGAGATCTGATGGTTTTATAAATGGGAGTTCCCCTGCACAAGCTCTCTTGCCTGCTGCCAAGTACGACATGACTCCTCATTCGTCTTCAGCCATCATTGTGAGGTCTCCCCAGCCATGTGGAACTGTGTGTCAAACATCTTTCCTTTATAAGTTACCCAGTCTCAGGTATGTCTCTCTTTAGCAGCATGACAACAGACTAATACATACTATTCTCATCTTTGAATCTGTGTTGAAGATTAACAGGCATACTTTATTTTTTTTAAGTAATAAATGTGACAAGAAAAGGAATCCATATTTCTTCCTAAAAATTAAAAATGCAGATGTGCTTTACTCAGTGTTACATTGGTCTGTTGTTTTCAAAATCTGACATTTTCAAAATAAATTAGTATAAAGATTACTCTTTACTTGATTTTTAAAAATCTACAATAAAATCATTAATTGAAAGCATAAAATTTAGAATTCACTAAAATTTGGACCTAATACAGATGTTCCCCAAATGCAACAGAAACAAACAAAAAAATCAAGTGCCTGTGGTTCTTCATTTGTGGAGGACAGACCCTGAGGTATATCAGAGCAATTAGAAGCCTTTCACCAATTAATGCAAAAAGCACTGATTATACAATGAATAAATTACCCTCATTTATGTGTATTAGAGCTTTTAATGAATATAGATGTTATAATAAGATACAAATTCATCTAAAAATCTTACAGAATTGACCATAATTTTAAAAAGTATCACATATTTGCTTTAGTCAATAGACAACAGGTGTAATTACCATCAAATGAGAGTTCACTAATTTTATTTTTTATGTCAGAATTCTTCATCTTTGAAAACATTGATAGGCACTGTTCTTTTTATCAAAAGCTAATTGCTGGCATTCTGTAGGTCACAAAGAGACAATTAGCTTGACTACTGTCTCAGATAGAAAACGATACATCTTTGAAATGAAGCTATCACCCGGTGACTATGGGGGAACTTTCTGAGTGCCTTTATTCTCCTTAGGCATGCATGCACAAACAAAATAAAAAGAGAGAGCAATTTCCCCACCCAGAAATAATAACAGGGAACTAAGTTCATTCTGCTTAAGACACTTTTCTTCTTATTCATCCATATGCAATATTTTAACTCCCCCTTTCCTTTCTTCTCTCAACTCCTGCATTTAGCGCGTGAATGTGTGCACAGGTGAACACGCGCACGCGCACGCACACACACACATTTTTTTCCCTCCTCAACTGAAAGCTACCGTAATAGTGGCAAAATGTACCATGAGTGATATCCTGAAACAACAAAAGAGAAAGCCATACTTTAAAAATTGAAATGAAAACAAACAAGTGGCCAGTACTATTAACCTTTAGTCTAGACTGTTGCCAAGTTTCCTTCAGATTATCCATAAAGATTTTTATTAATTTATTCTCAACTAATGATATCTGTTTTTCTGTAAGTTCAAACATTAAAGATACATTTGAAAATTATTTTGAATTCAACTTTAAATTCTAACATTAAATTCTATTATTTTTCTTTATTGCACACATTTTGCATTTTAGTAATACACACGGGCTTTGAAGGTTGGCTCAGAAAACTAGTCTTTGCAACCCTTATTCTCAGTTATTCCAAAAGTGCAATTAATTCTATCCAGAGAAAATCATATGTCCCTTTCTATCCCCACCTACACTGTCTACTTCTAGGTTCTCAGCATCTTTTATCTGAACTATTCCAATGACCTCCTGATTGG
Source organism: Homo sapiens (assembly GCF_000001405.40). NCBI lineage: Eukaryota > Metazoa > Chordata > Mammalia > Primates > Hominidae > Homo > Homo sapiens. The sequence continues at coordinate 66,851,862 of NC_000014.9, read as the reverse complement.
TGCTACAGCTAAGCTTGCTCCCACTCAACCCATTCTATTCTGCTGTCAAAATGGTCTTTCTAAAATGCAAGTCTCATTATATTTTCCCCTTGTTTAATATCTTTTGAAAAATCTCATTTCTTAATAGAAAAAAAAATCCAAATGCCTTTAATATGACAAAGGTATCCTCCATCATCTGACCTTACCTACTTTTCCCAGCTCTCTCTTGCCACTCCCTCAAAACCCATTCTGCAGCCAAACTGACCTATTTGTCAACTTAACGGTTTCAGCCATTGTGCCTTTACAGTAGAATGGGTTAATAAATATAGCTGTATTATACAATATAGTTATGAGAATGAACAACACTACATGAAATAATATGAATCAATTTTACAAAAATGACACTAAACAAAAGAATCCAGACACAAAAGATTACATATTATATGGTTCCACTTATACAAAGTTCGGTAAAACACAAAAGTAATTCTAACTCCAGTCTGGGTGACAGAGGGAGCTCCTGTCTTTGAAAAAAAAAAAGTAATCTGTAGTGCTAAAAGTCAAAGTTGTAGTTACACTTGAGGATTGAGCTGTGACTGTAAGGGGGAACAAGGGCCATTTTCTGGGACACTGATAATATTCTGGTTTCTTGATCTGGATGGTTATATAGATATGTTCAGTTTTTGAAAATCCATTATGGTGTAACTTACTATTTGTGGGTTTTTTTTTTGTAAATTAAATAAAAGGTAAGGAATAAAAACAACAACAACAAAAACAGTGCCAGTATCACTTGTCACTTCTTTGAAAGTTTCCCAAAACTAAGTAAGTCCCTCAGGCAGAATTTTTGTTCCTAAATATGTCATATATTTATCACACATAAAATTACCACAGCACAATAATTATATATTCTTATAACAAAATGTGATTATATTAACATAACAATTATATTACATTATTATATGTTAATATCATATCATTTTTAAAATCTCATTATCATTTAAATTATCCTTTAAAAAATCTAGATCTTTCTGTTTCACAATGAAATGTAACTTTCCTAACCAGTAAGATCATAACTTTCTACCCATGTACCCGCAGCCTCCAGCACAACCTGGCAGTTAGTGCGTACTCGATATTATGTCATGAGGGTTTTTCCAATCTCTGCATTAACATTTTGGGTCAGATAATTCTTTATTGCCGGGACTGTCCCATGCACTACAGGATGTTTAGCAGCATTCCTGGGCTCTACCCACCTGATATCACTAGGTACCCTCCAATTGTAACAACCAAAAATGTCACCAGGCATTGCAAATGTCCCTGGGGAACCAAAATTTACCCTGGTTGAAAACCATTTATACATATAGTTTCCATGTAAAAATACAAACTACATGTTAATTCACTCACCAAAAATCTCTGGGTTCTGAAATGGTTTGCATATTATGGGCAACTAAAAAAAAATAGGTTCTCTTGAATGCTTAAGAGGAAGTTGAGCTCTACATGTCAGAGAAGTTTATAAAATGGTTTCAATATCTAGATAATCAAATATAATTCATATTAATTGCATGCTAGAATAATGTCTCCTTTGGAATTCCTATATAGAAAAATGAGTTTGCCAAGCAAAATAATTGTGTAAGAGTTTATATTTGGTATTTTTTAAAATGACTGCTAATAGTAGCTAAGTGTATTAAAAGTCCAAATTATACATTATTTTCCAGGGCTTATATCTATGAATAGACCATTAATTCTACATTACTGAAGTTCAATAAGTTTCTATCTGTAAATTATTTAACAGTGAACATTACATAAGAAAAGGATAGTTAGAACATAAACTATCATGCATCAGCCATGAAAAAATCTCACAAAGGGAAAAACTAACTTATTAGGAAGAAATGTGTTTGTATTTTATTAACTTAATGCCTTTGATTCAGGATATAATTTTTGGCTTGATCTGTGTTGTTAAGAGCATGAGTGATAAAATAATTGAGTACTGGTATGTTAACGGAGTTTGAGAAATGAGAAAATGAATGGTTTATATGTCAAAATGATACAGCCAAAACATAAATTTGACCTTACCAAAATTATTTCTTGACAACCAATTCTTTACACTCCTCTTTGTGGTTACAATCAGTATTTAAGAACAGCTACTGAGCCAAAAACAAAACAAAACAGAAAACCTGGGCAGTTTATAAAAGGAGAAACAAAACTGAATAAATTCAAGAACAGTGTTTAAATTACTCTACAATATGCCAATAAAAATACAATTTTTCACCTACCAGATTGGTAAGATTAAAAATGATTAATATTCTACAATATGCCAATAAAAATACAATTTTTCACCTACCAGATTGGTAAGATTAACAATGATTAATGGAAATACAGTCTCATAAACTGATAGTACAAATACATAAACTTGTACATATTCTAAGAGGGTAATTTAGCAATATGTAATATGAAACTTCACAATTTTGAGTGAGTTATTGTATTTTAGGAAATATTTCTAAAGTGATCATTAGAAGTATACATAACAATTTATACAAAGAGAATGTGATAGGAAATAGGAAAGAACCTAAATGTTTAATGATAGGGAAATTAAATTACTCATAGTTTTTAAGTATTTTTCAGTGATTGACAAATCCCAATTTTTTTGTAGAACAGTTATTAAATGAAGAAAAGCTTACATTATATGAAAAGGAGAGTGGCTAAGAGCAAGGGATCTGGAGTAAAGACTACCTAGTTCAAATTCTAGTTCTATCATCTTTTGCTACATCCAAGTCAATTTATTTAATCATTTAATCTTTCTAAATATAATTTTCTTATCTGTAAAGTGGTACCTACCTATTTTGTAGGCTTGTGTGGATTAAATTAGATATAATATACAAAGTACTTATAAAAATACATGGCATACAGTAAGTGTACTATACATTTTAGTAATTATTATAATAATTGGGATGATATTACTAAGAAAACCAAGATATAAACCAGTATATATGGTGTGCTCCCAGTTGGGCAAATTAATGAATTAGTCTTAGGTAATAATTGTGGGTTCAGATTATTGGTGTTTTTATTAACTTCATTTTGCTTTGCTATATTTTCCCCAAATTCTTTTTTTTCTTGCAAAAAGCATGTATTATTTCCATGTTCAGTAAAAAAGGAGTTATTTTAAAACTCTGTTATTAAAAAGATGAACGTCATCTTTTCCTTCTCCTAAATGACCATATATTTTTCTATTACAATATGGACTGAATACCCATTTCACAATAAAAAGGTCATTTTATGCTGTAGTTGAACACATATCATATGCAAAATGGTGTGCTCCTAATATCTTAACACTAACGAGAAAGTAACGAGAAATTTGAAAACCAGTTTTCTTGTTGGTAAAAGAGAAGCTTTCTACAGATGGCCTTTAGCCTTACCATGTAGTTACTAACCTTCATGAGAAGCAGGATATCTAAACAGACTTCATATTTTATCCCTCTGACAGAGTCTATCTTAATTTTGATCAGAAAGCATTGGATGAGAAAATAATTTAACTTATAAGAGATACAGTATTTTCTTTGAGGACCTCTGCTTAAGAACTCTGTAGGGCGATTACCACCTTTGATTACAATGCAAATATACATGTACTACTACGGCTATGAATAAACCAAAGAAAATTTGATTCCTGAACATCTGAGGAATCAAATTTGAGCAGTTTTTATGTTGCTGATATAAGTAAAAAACACTAAATTTCTTCATAAGTACTAAATATTATAAGAAATCTAAAAAGCATTCTAAGTCAAATACAAAAAGTCTGGTGGTGGTTTGTATTTGAAAAATTCCAAATATCTAACTAGTGCACTTTTCAGGTATTGATTTTGATGTTCATAAAATTAAAGATTGTTACATGTGAAAAAAGGATCTTTGCACCAAACAGTCTTTCTGGGGCAATTTACTTTCCCCCAGTGATCTCTTTCTCACCCACCTGATCTCTTGTGCCATGAGTTAGTTTCTGCCAGCAACAGTGAAGTATTTGATGGTAGGAGGGCAAATAGGGGGAGAAGAGAGATTAAGAAACTAGGAGACTGATTATTAGTGCCTGCTACTGTTATTATCTATATTCAAAATAAAAAAAGTGAAACTTCACAAAAGTTTCACTTCATTTTATGGAAACCTCCACAAAATGTTTATATAAGGAAGCTACATCTTCAGCCATATCCTTTGCAAGGTCTTGAATACATTCTGCTGTCATTCAGTGGAGAAAATAAAAAACTAAAAGAAAAAATAGATGATTTGTTAGGGAGTAGTTGCCTAATTTAGAGAATTTTCTTGTTATTAGATATAAAGGACTTGAAGCCTAGTAAGAATGAGATAGACCTTTTGCCTTCTCAGATTAACTTTCACACAAAGGAAACACGTTATAGCACTCTATTTTAAATTCAGCTTCCTCAAAATAAAATAGGAGTTCAGAGATCATAAGATAAGAAAAAGTATATTTATTATTAATAAAATGAGTTTAATAAAATTATGTTACTCTTATATTTTCCTTTATTCCACCTTATTAAAATATCGGCATAATCTGCTTTTTCTGCTTTAAAATGTTTTTCAGAATGAATGCAGGCAAAGCAAAATCTTTTAAAATTGTTCATTATTGCTAAGAAAACAAGCTAAATCTGGTCGTAATTTCTATTGTTGTGCTTTTCTCAACATGACAACCTTGATCTTTCCATAGCTGTGCTGTTAAAATAAAGTTTGGTAAGAAATTGGAAGGAAGAAGGAAAAATGTGTTAGTAAAGTTTATCCTAAAGGAATCAGTGTGAAGTACTGAGTAATAGGAATGAAAGCTAACTGCTCTCAAGTTTAAATGCACAAATCAGTATAGGGAGCACAAATAAATTTATAGTTCAGAAATAATCAAATCCGTAAGAAAAACTAATGAATATGACTAAACCTTCTGACAGCAGGAATTTTAGTGAGTTTTAATTGATAGTGAGAATAAATTAAATTCCTGAACATTTTCATTATTGGTATAAGAGTTGTACTTCGGGGGCAAAAATCTCTCACTGTGCTTGCAATTACATTCAAGAACAGCCTATTGGACATTAGTTATCTACTTACCTATACCCATTTTCTACTCTTTACTATGAAACTAATAAGCCTAGTTTTAGTTACTGTTATTTATTAATAGCTACCAATGAAATCACTAACCTGTCACTGAATGCTCTAGGCTTTAAAATTAAAGAGATTCCTATCGACATTTAAGTTACTGCCAGCATCCTTCAGCTGTGATAAGTTGTAATACAGACTTTATCATTCTTATTACATTCTTCTTCCTGAATAAATAATGCTTAGAAGAGGTGAAAGGATTTCCTTATATACAGCCACTGTGACTTTGAACATTTTCCTCAAACCATTAGATGAAAAGAACAAAATTGTGTGGTTGATATTAGAAATGCATTTTTTTTGTTAAATGTCTTTTCCCCTCTCTTGGAATGTGAGCACCTTAAGAGCCACGTTTTATGTCTTTGTGTCACATATTCCTAGCAGACTACAGATTACCCAACCTTTCTTAAAAGGTTCTGAGAGAATTTTTGTATCTAGTGAATTAACTTATCTCTCACACATATAGAATGGTACTAGCTGGTGTGCCACCCTTAGGAGAATTGAGAAGACAGTCAAACAATTTTCTGTGTTTGATAGTTTAGATGGGGAACCTCAATTGAGAAGGGATGGATAGAGTGTATAAAAATCACCCCCCCTAAAATTGTTGAATTAACAAATGAGAACTTATCACCTAACAGATTGAAAGTCTTCTTTCCTAAGTCCATCATTATTTTAACTACTGCAGTTTTAAACTGCTTTCCTAAGTCCATCATTTTTTAACTACTGCAGTTTTAAACTGCTTGAAGACAAGGGTCAATTCTCTTTAACTTTTTAAATTCTTATAAGGTCTAGGCCACTACGGTACAGAGTTCAATTTAACTCATATTGTGTTTCATCAGTGGATTAAAACACACACACAGACACACGTTCACGTGTGCGCACGCACACAGACACACACACACACACACACACACACACACACACACACACAGAGGCATGTATGTGCACATTACCTAAACCGAATTCCAAACCTACTGAATCAGAATCTCTGGGGTTCGAGCCTAGCAATCTTTTTAGAAAAATGTCTATGAGTGGTAGAAGGCTGAGTATACAGGATGAAGGATCTCTGGATTGAAATGAATTCCTGTTCCCATTGCTGGTTCCTCTAAACATGACCTGGTTCCCTCATCTTAGTCATCTTCATTTAAACCTTGCCTTTCAAATGCCTACCTCTCTCCTCTATAAAAGCCCACATTATTCCATTTCAAAGATGTGCCATCATACTGTCCTTAAGTTGGTTATTTTTTTAAAATTTAACTTTCTTCAGAATCATTTTTGTTTTCTTACAATCATCCAAGATCTGTGTCATTTTAACTTCATTCTCCCTTTTATTCATAGAATAGTCTTCTAAATTTTATCATTTGGCCTTCTGTAGCCTTTCTAAAAGTTTATAATTTCTTCTGCTCCTAATATCATATCTTGGACTTATTAATCTTTCATATTAATTATGTGGTTTCCCTGATCTCTTTGCTATTAATTTAATTTCTTCTTGGACTAAAGTATTAAATGCTATTGAATCCATTTCTAGTTATATAACCAAAAGAAAAACAGATACTTGCATGCCAATGTTTGTAGGAGCATTATTTGTAAAAGCTAAAAGCTGAAAACAACCCAGTGTCCACCAACAGGTGAACTGATAAAAAAGTTGTGGTATATACATACAGTGGAATAATGGTCAGAGTTAAAAAGGGATGAAATTCTAATACATGATATAATATAAATGAACCCTGAAAACATTTTGCTAAGTGAAATAAGCTAGACACTGAAAGACAAAACTGGTATGATTCCACTTATATGAGGTATCTAGAACAGGCAAATTTATAAAGACAGAAAGTAGATTATAGTTTACCAGGGGTTGGGGGAGGGAGGAATGGGGAGTTTTTGTTTAATGGGTACAGAGTTTCTAAATGGGATGATAAAAGTTCTAGAAACAGTGGTGACGGTTGCACAAAACTGTGAATGTGCTAATATCACTGAATTGTACACTTAAAATTGGTTAAAATGGTAAATTTTATGTTTATATTTTACCAAAATTTTAAAAAGCTACTGAAATGATTTTAACTTCCCTAGAGCATCCTTTTTCTTCACACTGACAAATTTTATCTATATTATTAAAAGAAAATAAAAACCCATCCATACTTTTTCCGTATCCCTAAATCTATCACCTCTTTAGATTTTTTTGTAAAAATAAAATTTAATATGGATACTCAGCATTTTCCACACTTCGAGCACAATGACATTGTAGATACACACATAAAACACTTCAAATCTCTATATACACATATGCATGCACACATACACACCCCACTTTACATCTCCTCCTTAGACTCTTGCAAATTTCACCAAAATTCTTCTTTGGTTCTTGTATTTGAGCTTTCATTTAAATATAAGCAAATAAGACTGTAAGTTTTACAGTGCAGATAATGTTATGTTGCAAGTTATTTTTAGATGCCAAGTACTTTGCAAATACAATAATGAGAAAATATCAATTTCAAAGGTTTACCCAACATACAAGAAAAGAGTTTAAAAGGAAGGAAGATAAATACATCTAAAGGATCTCTAAAGAACTGGTATTACGTAAACTATGAGGAAGCTGAGAAATGATATTCTCAAAGGAAAAAATAGAGCAGAGCAGAAAGCTACTTTAATCTAAACTACAAAGAATTATAAGATAATTAAATTTATTTTTAGAGATGATGCTTTTAAAGTTGCAAAAAAATCTTCTGGTCTTATTAAAAAGGATAAAATTAATAGGAGTAACTTATCCTTATAAAACCCTGGAAAATTTAGGAATAATAAATTAAGAAATAATTTTAGTATATGGAAAATTATTAAAAGATCCCATACACAAGAAATAAATGTACATAATATATGATGTGAAAGGAAAACTTAAGCAAAGATGATTATTTATAAAAAAATATATTCTTACATAAAGAGAAGAATATGGAGCTGTATAAAAAAGCAGAAAGGACAGGTGGTAGTTTAAAAAGTCAGTTTAGGAGCAAACTGGACTGGGCTGTTAGATAGCAAAGCATTTTCCTATTTCTAAGATGTTTGGACGATATGTAGGCAAAACTTTTATTGGAAATAAAATATGATCAGGGTTACAAGACAACAGAGGAGCAATGCCAGTGATTTTTTAAATGCAGCAAACTGTAAAGGAGGCAACACAGGCCAATCAGCAAGTTGCAAGTACAAAGGAGATGATTTCAATATCTCAAATAAATTAATGGGGCAGCCATAGGTAGCAAATAGGTAGAGGAGGCAACAGTCAAGCAAACTCAGTCAGCAGTCTAACTCAGTCAGCAGTCTAACTCAGTGGCACAAGGCAAGTGTAGATGATAGCAGAAATGCTAAACAATCTCACCTACTTACAGTGTTACAGGCATAGATTGGGCAGGGCAAGATCAGGCAGGCAGATGGCATAGCACTTGTTAGGCCATAGTATAGGGGAATTGTAGGGGAGCAGATAGATAATGCTGGGCAGTCTAAAATGCTAAAATAGCAGATGGATATGGCAGTACCAGGCCATTTGCTGACGGACAAAGCACCAGTGAGTGAAGAATGCAAATCATTCAGCAGATGAGTGAAGTGAGGCAAAAAGGAGAGACAAAAACCAAAGGCAATCAAGCAGGAAGACAGAACAGTAGAGAAACAATGACAGATCATCAGAAGCAGTTGGGTAGTGTAATAGCAAGCTCTCAGCAGAGGAATAAAACACCATTCAGGAAAAGATGAGATTGAGAGTGAGGCAGTCCCCTGAATTGGGTGTCTTCCATCTAGGATACAGTAATCAATAAACTGCAAATGAGAATCCACAAGAGAACAGCACACAAATGGAAATAGCAGATGGATCTGAACTCTATTGCCCAGGGATACAGAATGACCCTAGAACATAGATACATAACAATCCACAAGGAAATTAAACAGATGTGAAAAATGGATCCAAGCATTTTTTATGATGATAAAAGAAACCAAAACACTAAAAATTATTAATCTGAAAATGATTGGCTGGGATTGAAGTCTTCGCTTACCCCTTTCTGGAGCCCACAAAATGGGAATGTTGGGAATTTCTGCAGCAGAAAAACAGAAGAGAAAAGGGATTTCTGACTCCCAGTTTGAGGAAAGCAGGTCAAATTTAGGGCTGTACAAACTGGTTCAGGGAAATAAGAACCAGCCTGAACCTTCTCCCTTCCTCAGAATGAAACCATTTCTGAGTTATGGGAAAAGTTTAGGCAGCCCTCACCCCATCATTCCCCACAACCTCCCCTTTCACACTTACCTCCAGTGCAAACAGTTTCCAGCAAGGAGGTACTTGGAAAAATTCACTCATATGTTTACACCACGGCAAAATGGGAAGATGGTCAACTAATGGTACTTCCTGTGTAGGTCGGGTTTCTAATTCAGTGGGATCCCTTCCACTCTTTGTGAATGAGCAGAGGGGACAGATTACTAGAAACTACCTACCTCTTTGAAAGTGGATGAGAAAGAATCAGGGGCAGTAATATCAATCAACAAATAGTAATACCAGTAAATATCTTGGTGATCTCATCAATTGTGATGGATTTTAATTCCATTTATATGTTGATGACTCCAAAAATAATATTTCTAGCCCAGATTTTCCTACTGAAGTCTAGATACATATACCTAATATCTACTTTTTTTGGGCGGGGCTGGGGGGGTTGGGGCGGGGGCGGGGGGAAGGAGTCTTACTCTGTCACCCAGGCTGGAGTGCAGTGGTGCAATCTCAGCTCACTGCAAACCTTGCCTCTTGGGTTCAAGCAATTCGCCTGCCTCAGCCTCCCGAGTAGCTGGGATTACAGGCGTGCACCACCAGGTCTGGCTTTTTTCTTTTCTTTTCTTTTCTTTTTTACTAGAGACAGGGTTTCACCCGGTTGTCCAGGCTGGTCTTGAACTCCTGACTTTATGTGATCCACCCACCTCAACCTCCCAAAGTGCTGGGATTACAGGTGTGAGTCACCATGCCCGGCCTCATATACTTAATATCTAATTGCAATTCAGTATCTCCACTTGGATATCTAAAGGAAGTTCAGGTTTCCATAACCAAAGTAAAATTCCTGATCTTCCCCCTCAAACCTACTTTTCCCATAGTCTTCTCCATTTCAGTAAATGGAAACTACATTCTTCTAATTCCCAAGGCAAATCTTGGGTCTTATACCTGACTTCTCTCTTTATCTTATTGCATCTGTTTACCTCTCCCTTCAAAATATATCAGTAATCTACTTCTCACTACCTCCACCTCTATCATTGGTCTAAGCCACTGTCATTTTCCACCTGGATTATTTTAATAGTCTCCTAACTTGTTTTCCCATTAAAATATGTCAGTTCATGCCATGCCTCTACTCTGTTACACTAAGGGTGGCATACAGGTTCCACATGATCCATGGCTTCCTCTCTCTCCTCCTTTAGGTCTTTGTTCAAATGTCATCTTATCAATGAGGCCTTCCTTAATGGATGACCCTATTTAAAATTATAACCCTCTTTCCTACCTGGGCTACCTATCCTCCCTCCCTGGTTAATTTTTAAACATAGCGCTTACCATCTCCAGTTCTATAGAGTTTACTTGTTTTTTAATAGCTTGTATCCTCTCACTAAAATGTAAATTCCATAAAGGTAGGGACTTGTGACTTCTTAACTCATTGCTCTATCTCAACATCTTAAACAGTGCCTGGCATGTATATATCTATATCTATACCTATATCTATATCTATATCTATATCTATATCTATATCTATATCTATATCTATATCTATATCTATCTAGTAGGCTTTAAGTACATATTTGAGTCCATGAAGCATTAACTTCTTATGGGGCTTCCTCTCTCAATCTCAATTTTTCAGAGTATTCTTCTGAAAGCTCACATACTATGAGCTTTAAGATTAACAGAGCAGACGCCAGTGTACTATAGAATAGGAATGTTCTAAAACAGGGGTTGGCAAACTACAGCCCAAGGGCCAAATCCTGCCCATTTCCTGTTTTTTTTTTTTTTTTTTGTATGGCCTGCACTCTATAAGTGATCTTTGTATTTTTTAATGATTCAAGAGATAATCAAAAGAAGAATAATATTTCATGACACGTAGAAATATATGAAATCCAAATTCAGTGGCCGTAATAAAGTTTTATTAGAGCACAGCCAGGCTCATTCATTTACATCATCTGTGGCTGCCTCTGTGCTACCGGTCTGGCAGAGTTGGGTAGTTTTGACAGAGACCATATGCCTACAAAATCTAAAAAATTTACCATCTGGCCCTTTTAAATAGGTTTGCTGACCCCTGTCCTATAGTATTTTATATTTAGAAGGCAAAGAGCAATAACTAAAATTTGAGCAAAGATAGACTAGAATTTACTGTTAATATTGCTGCTACTATTGTCCATGGTAAATGTTTGGGGGAATGTATACTTATACTAGGATTTGCTTTCAATATTATTATTAGTTTTATTTTTTATTTTTGAGACAGTGTCTCGCTCTGTTACCCAGGCTGGAGTGCAGTGGCGCAATCTTGGCTCATTGCAACCTCCACCTACTGGGTACAAATGATTCTCCTGCCTCAGCCTCCCGAGTAGATGGGATTACAGGGGCATGTCATCATGCCTGGCTATTTTTTCTATTTTTAGTAGAGACGGGGTTTCACCGTGTTGGCCAGGCTGGTCTCGAACTCCTGACCTCAGGTGATCTGCCCACCTTGACCTCCCAAAGTGCTGGGATTACAGGCATGAGCTACCACAACTGGCCTGCTTTCAATATTATATACAAGTAACCTCTCATTCCTCTAAATATTATTTATTAAAGAGGGTGATATTCATTCATCTATCTACCCCACAGAGCAGCGCCATCTCGAAGGACAAAGTACAATACCAGTAAGTCTTGAAAATGGCAAAATGGGAGAGAATGAAAGAGGAAGTAAATAGGGCCCATAAATGGAAACTTATATCAAAGTATCACACAATTAACTAAACTTCTAAATACATACCCTAACAATAGTCAGAAATTAGCATGATATGAATTTCTTTTGAATCTCATCAATGGGGGTATTAAAGTGACCTCATTATAATGGGTTTGCCTATACAATGTAATCTTGAATCACAGCAGACAATTGACACATTATAATAAGACTCCATTATAGTTATACAATATTCAAAACTAACAATTATATTCTCTCTGGTTCAAATACCTCCATTTTGTAAAAAAAGAGTATTTAAAAAATTTTGTAAAACTGCATTCAGAAGCACCTCCTAATCAAAACTGACCTAGCTTTTCTTTCCATAAAGGTTTAGCCTGAGGATTATTCCACGTAAGGATATTATGTTATTTGCTGCAATACAACCTATAGAAAGGAGTGAAGAAGCTGAGGGGTAAGACACTTAAATTATCCCAGTGGCACTCATGGCTATAATGTTATCTTCATTCTTCATAGAGAAGTATAATTTATTTCTTTGTATATCAATTAGTCCTTCCAGCATGATGGACTGCTTCTTCCACATTGTTGCCTTTGGCCTTCGGTCTCGTTCATTCAGTGAAACTGACAACCATCATTTTCAAACTGTACATACAAGAGAGGTTTACTGCTTCTTTCTTCTCAGCATCTTTTGAAGGAACTTGGATCCTTTCTGCTAATTCTCATCTATGTGCCATTAATAAATATCTAAAATGGTTACTACCTCCAGTGGACATTTGTCCTTCATATTTTAGTAGCAGTTCCAAGTTTCAATATAAGAAAATAATACTGGTAAAATTATTAGAATTATTCAAATTGTTTACTTTGTTGCCTCAATCTACTTTCTGAATCCCTATCAGATGCCTTTTATGGCAGGCAGTAACAACAAAGTTACAAATATTCTGCCCTTCTAATTCAGTGATATTATTCTGAGAAGTTCATAGTACTTGACAGATATAAAGTACTCATTTGTTGTCATCTTATTACATTTTATGTGAAAGGCAACAGTAAGTCCATTTCATAGATGGATACCTAATACACAGAGAGAGAAATCCATATTCCTGATTCCAGACAGTAGTAAAGAAAGGAATATCCTGAAATCTTCATTCCTTAGACTATGTCTCTAGATAAATATACTTTTAGCATTTTACTAATATATCTGCAAAATATTTATTTATATTTTGTTGTTAATTTCTTAGCACATATTTTGCAAAACCAAAGTATTCTGGTATGCTAGCCTCTTTTCATTTTACAAGAGTAGATTTGGAAGGGTGAACTGGAAAGGTGATTTCAAGATATCATCACTGATAAATTCAAGCTAAAACAAGGATTTAACATGTCTTCTTTGATATTTCTTTTTCCTTTTCTGCAACTATACTATTGTGTACTTTAAGTTCTATCTTGTTTGATTTTTCTTTCAGAGAATAATTCTTATAATATTTATTCCACCATCATCTACTTATTTTTAAAGCTAAAGCTCTTTCTAAACATATTGTAGATAACAATAGCAAAGATTTATATAGCAAGGAAATATTGTTTTTAGTGCCTTGCTTATATTATTTACATAACGTAAGTACCCTATGAGGCAAGTACTCTTACTATCATTTTACACATAAGAAAACAGGTTTTTAAAGTTAAGTAAATTGCATGGGGTTGCACACTAATAACAGGTGGATCTAAGATTCAAACCCAAATAGTCTGTGCTCTTAACCACTATGTTATTTTTATTATTATTAATTTTATGCCCCATTACAGAGCAGAATTAAGCAGTATGTTATGCTACTCCATAAAAGGTTATATGGGCAACACTATTTTTCTAGTTAGAACTGTAATTAGAAACAGAACTTACCATCACTTGCATCTACACTTGCTTGTATGTTTATTTAACATATGATCTCTCGTATCCATAGGGCCCCATAAAAGCTGAGCACATATTCTGACATAGAGTAGGTATACAATTAGGATATATATTTAAAGGAAATTGAATATATAATTTTTATTTGTGGGTTCTTCATATAGGAAATTTTTGTTTTTGCCTTATTCTCAAAATTGCAAAAATTCTGACCTCAAGGAACAATGTACTCTTCCCTCTTTAGTGCTACTGTGTGGAATAGGACCCTTTCAACTTAACAGTCTTTTTATTTATTTATTTATTTATTTATTTATTTATTTATTTATTTTTATTTATTTATTTATTTTTATTATACTTTAAGTTTTAGGGTACATGTGCACATTGTGCAGGTTAGTTACATACGTATACATGTGCCATGCTGGTGTGCTGCACCCACTAACTCGTCATCTAGCATTAGGTATATCTCCCAATGCTATCCCTCCCCCCTCCCCCCACCCCACAACAGTCCCCAGAGTGTGATGTTCCCCTTCCTGTGTCCATGTGATCTCATTGTTCAATTCCCACCTATGAGTGAGAACATGCGGTGTTTGGTTTTTTGTTCTTGCGATAGTTTACTGAGAATGATGGTTCCCAATTTCATCCATGTCCCTACAAAGGACATGAACTCATCATTTTTTATGGCTGCATAGTATTCCATGGTGTACATATGCCACATTTTCTTAATCCAGTCTATCATTGTTGGACATTTGGGTTGGTTCCAAGTCTTTGCTATTGTGAATAATGCCGTAATAAACATACGTGTGCATGTGTCTTTATAGCAGCATGATTTATAATCCTTTGGGTATATACCCAGTAATGGGATGGCTGGGTCAAATGGTATTTCTAGTTCTAGATCCCTGAGGAATCGCCACACTGACTTCCACAATGGTTGAACTAGTTTACAGTCCCACCAACAGTGTAAAAGTGTTCCTATTTCTCCACATCCTCTCCAGCACCTGTTGTTTCCTGACTTTTTAATGATTGCCATTCTAACTGGTGTGAGATGGTATCTCATTGTGGTTTTGATTTGCATTTCTCTGATGGCCAGTGACGGTGAGCATTTTTTCATGTGTTTTCTGGCTGCATAAATGTCTTCTTTTGAGAAGTGTCTGTTCATGTCCTTCGCCCTCTTTTTGATGGGGTTGTTTGTTTTTTTCTTGTAAATTTGTTTGAGTTCATTGTAGATTCTGGATATTAGTGCTTTGTCAGATGAGTAGGTTGCGAAAATTTTCTCCCATTTTGTAGGTTGCCTGTTCACTCTGATGGTAGTTTCTTTTGCTGTGCAGAAGCTCTTTAGTTTAATTAGATCCCATTTGTCAATTTTGGCTTTTGTTGCCATTGCTTTTGGTGTTTTAGACATGAAGTCCTTGCCCATGCCTATGTCCTGAATGGTAATGCCTAGGTTTTCTTCTAGGGTTTTTATGGTTTTAGGTCTAACATTTAAGTCTTTAATCCATCTTGAATTGATTTTTGTATAAGGTGTAAGGAAGGGATCCAGTTTCAGCTTTCTACATACGGCTAGCCAGTTTTCCCAGCACCATTTATTAAATAGGGAATCCTTTCCCCATTGCTTGTTTTTCTCAGGTTTGTCAAAGATCAGATAGTTGTAGATATGCGGTGTTATTTCTGAGGGCTCTGTTCTGTTCCATTGATCTATATCTCTGTTTTGGTACCAGTACCACGCTGTTTTGGTTATTGTAGCCTTGTAGTATAGTTTGAAGTCAGGTAGTGTGATGCCTCCAGCTTTGTTCTTTTGGCTTAGGATTGACTTGGCGATGCGGGCTCTTTTTTGGTTCCATATGAACTTTAAAGTAGTTTTTTCCAATTCTGTGAAGAAAGGCATTGGTAGCTTGATGGGGATGGCATTGAATCTGTAAATTACCTTGGGCAGTATGGCCATTTTCACGATATTGATTCTTCCTACCCATGAGCATGGAATGTTCTTCCATTTGTTTGTATCCTCTTTTATTTCCTTGAGCAGTGGTTTGTAGTTCTCCTTGAAGAGGTCCTTCACATCCCTTGTAAGTTGGATTCCTAGGTATTTTATTCTGTTTGAAGCAATTGTGAATGGGAGTTCACTCACGATTTGGCTCTCTGTCTGTTGTTGGTGTATAGGAATGCTTGTGATTTTTGCACATTGATTTTGTATCCTGAGACTTTGCTGAAGTTGCTTATCAGCTTAAGGAGATTTTGGGCTGAGACAATGGGGTTTTCTAGATATACAATCATGTCATCTGCAGACACGGACAATTTGACTTCCTCTTTTCCTAATTGAATACCCTTTATTTCCTTCTCCTGCCTAATTGCCCTGGCCAGAACTTCCAACACTATGTTGAATAGGAGTGGTGAGAGAGGGCATCCCTGTCTTGTGCCAGTTTTCAAAGGGAATGCTTCCAGTTTTTGCCCATTCAGTATGATATTGGCTGTGGGTTTGTCATAGATAGCTCTTATTATTTTGAAATATGTCCCATCAATATTCAAAGCAGTGTGTAGAGGGAAATTTATAGCACTAAATGCCCACAAGAGAAAGCAGGAAAGATCCAAAATTGACACCCTCACATCACAATTAAAAGAACTAGAAAAGCAAGAGCAAACACATTCAAAAGCTAGCAGAAGGCAAGAAATAACTAAAATCAGAGCAGAACTGAAGGAAATAGAGACACAAAAAACCCTTCAAAAAATTAATGAATCCAGGAGCTGGTTTTTTGAAAGGATCAACAAAATTGATAGACCGCTAGCAAGACTAATAAAGAAAAAAAGAGAGAAGAATCAAATAGACACAATAAAAAATGAAAAAGGGGATATCACTACCGATCCCACAGAAATACAAACTACCATCAGAGAATACTACAAACACCTCTACGCAAATAAACTAGAAAATCTAGAAGAAATGGATAAATTCCTTGACACATACACTCTCCCAAGACTAAACCAGGAAGAAGTTGAATCTCTGAATAGACCAATAACAGGATCTGAAATTGTGGCAATAATCAATAGCTTACCAACCAAAAAGAGTCCAGGACCAGATGGATTCACAGCCGAATTCTACCAGAGGTACAAGGAGGAACTGGTACCATTCCTTCTGAAACTATTCCAATCAATAGAAAAAGAGGGAATCCTCCCTAACTCATTTTATGAGGCCAGCATCATTCTGATACCAAAGCCGGGCAGAGACACAACCATAAAAGAGAATTTTAGACCAATACCCTTGATGAACATTGATGCAAAAATCCTCAATAAAATACTGGCAAACCGAATCCAGCAGCACATCAAAAAGCTTATCCACCATGATCAAGTGGGCTTCATCCCTGGGATGCAAGGCTGGTTCAATATACGCAAATCAATAAATGTAATCCAGCATATAAACAGAGCCAAAGACAAAAACCACATGATTATCTCAATACATGCAGAAAAGGCCTTTGAGAAAATTCAACAACTTTCATATTAAAAACTCTCAATAAATTAGGTATTGATGGGACATATTTCAAAACTTAACAGTCTTAAATGCAAAGTCAGTTATTGCTCTAATTATTTATCTAAATGGTCTAATTTTGTACCTGTAATTTTTATACTGGCACCATTTTACTATGGAGCTTTTCTTTTTTCATGCATAAAAAATAGAGGATGTATGTTTTGGGTAAGTCTGTGCCTGGTAGAAAAATTAAATGCAAAAATAATCCATAAGTAAGTGGACTTAAGGAGAAACATAACATTTCTTTTCAAATATCAGAAATGTCATGCAGAGGAGGAATTAACCTTCTTTTGAGCACAGCCAAGAGCAAAATTAGGACAAGTGGGTAGAAATTATAAGGTGACAGATTTCAGTTTGATATATTTAGACTTTCAAACAAGTAGAGTTGTCTAAACAATGAACTCTTCGATAGAAGAAGTGATGGTTGAAATGTTCAGGCTGGAATGATGAAAAGGGCATGCTAGGGCTTTGAACATGAAGGTCTTTGTTCTCTTCAAACTCTGAGATACTATGATTTCTCCACTATTATAAAGTTTGTAATTTTATACAAATGCTAAGCTAATTAAGATATAGCACTGACAAATCTATGATTACATATTCCGATTGTCTTGATTCTTGATTCTAAGGGAAATATTGACTGAAAAGGTTTCCAGACAACAAATCAACAAAATTGGAATTGTGTGCCTCTCAGCAGTTTAAATTTAATAAGTAAATAAATGGATAGTTACTAGGTTTGCAGATTACATCAGAACTTTTTTTTTTTTTTTAACCAGGGCATAAAAACAACCTCCAAAGAGAATAAAGTTAGTCCTACTGAGGAATGTATTCATGTGCATTCGAATAAATGCTGATTCAAAAAAGAGTCTAAGAAAGTCCTGAAAGCATGATTTTACTGTCTATACTGGCTGATAGGAGACTCATGAATTCTCGTTTCCAAGGAATCTCTGAATAACGGCAGTGATATGGTTTGGCTGTGTCCCACCCAAATCTGGTCTTGAATTGTAATTCCCATAATCTCTATGTGTAATGGGAGGGACTTGGTGGGAGGTACTAATAATTTAATCATGGGGCAGTTACCCTCATGCTTTTCTCATGGTTCTCATGATAGTGAGTTCTCCTGAGATCTGATGTTTTTATAAGGGGCTTTTCCCCCTGTTGCTCTGTACTTCTACTTGCTGCCGCCATGTGAAGAAGGATGTGTTTGCTTCAACTTCCACCATGATTGTAAGTTTCCTAAGGCCTACCACACCCTGCTGAACTGTGAGTCAATTAAGCCTCTTTCTTTTACAAATTACCCAGACTTGTGTACGTCTTTATTAGCGATGTGAGAACAGACTAATACAGTAAATCTCTCATTTCTGTATTTGGTACCTCTCTAGCCAGTCTGAAAGAAATAAAATAATGTAGGTCTAGTGTATCCATCCTTCTACGTAAAGTGAATTCTCTGTTTTAGCCAGAAAGATTTTATGTTTGTATTTCTCTGTGCCTTGCTCATATATTTTCCTTCTTCTTTACTCCTACCTTTAAGGTCTTCCTTTTTCAAAACCTAAATCCCATTCAATTTTAGCCTGAATTTTATAAAAATTTCACTCATTACTCAAGCTCTCTTTTAATCTTTCTCTTTGAATAAATCTTTTTGCCTGAATTGGCTAAATATTTCTGGTACCAGGTTTAAACTGTCTTGAATTGTCATATGACTATTTTAGGAGTATATGTACTTTAGCTTTAGGTTTGATAAAGTCCAAGGTGCTTCATAAATATTTGTTACATTGAACAAAGAAAATGAATGCTGTTCTTACCAAACAGAAAGGTCTTAAGTGTGCCTATGATACAAAAAAAAAAATTCTGCTTTCAGTGGACAATACAAAAATAATTATAAAACCCAGATATAAAGTGGGCTATTACTAAAAAGTTATTTTTTCACATATCTGGCTGTTTCAAGACAAGTCCTTATTTTTAAGACATATCCACCAATTATGTTTGTAGTTAACAATAGCTATCAGAAGCACAATGGTTAGTAGCAAAAGTATTTGGAGCTACCATATCTAATTAGAGATAACAGGTAGTACTGTTAATTAAATGAGGAAGAAAAAGAACAAATACTGAGCATCTACAAAGATTACAGGCATTATGTTAGATCCTTTTACATGCATTTATTGCCATTTACTACTTGAAAAGTCTTGGGCAAGTCAATGAATCAATCTGTGTCACAGTTTCTCCATCTTTAAGGCAGAGATAACAATAAATAGTACCTTCCTTATACATATCTTATTTATTTATTTTTTAAAACAGGGTCTCACTCTGTCACCCAGGTTGGAATGCAGTGGCCCCATCTTTGCTCACTGCAACTTCCGCCTCCTGGGTTCAAGTGATTCTCGTGATTCGGCCTCCTGAGTAGCTGGGACCACAGCCATGCAACAACATGCCTGGCTAATTTTTTTGTATTTTAGTAGACATGGGTTTCACCATGTTGGCCAGGCTGGTCTCAAAATCCTGACCTCAAGTGATCCACCCACCTCGGCCTCCCAAAGGGCTGGGATTACAGGCATGAGCCACCACACCTGGCCTCATATGGTTGTTTTGAAGAATAAATGAGTTAACATATGCTTAAAAGAGTTATTTGCACACAGTAATTGCTATATGTAAGTGTTAGTTGTTATTATTGACTATTTTTATTATTAGAATCAACAATTTTGAGATGTAGGTAGGCATCAGCTAATTTAGCAGATGAGAAAAATTAGCTAATTTAGCAGATGAGAAAACAGATTTGAACAGGTCAACTTGCCTTAAGTTTCATAGTTAGTAAGTAGTAGCACTAATATTTAAATTTAGGAATCTGACTCTATAGTGTAAGCTTTTTCCACTATACCATATTGCATGCCAACGTGTTTAGACAAAGATATGACATGGGAACTATTTCATAAAATTAGGATGAGCTCCTTAAAATGCCATCAAATATAACCATCAAATCTGACTGTAGAGGGATGGAACATTTTATTAAATTTAGTTTTAAATACTTCAGGTATAAGGGTTTCTAGTATTCTGCTTTGTAAGCAATTTAATATTGTTAAATTATCCTATTTGCATAGAACAATTTTAAGATAGTCAAAATCCTAGTTCAATATGACTAATTTTAGCCTTACCATGTATAACAGGTATTTTATTTTACTCAAAACAAAATCAAATTTTCTATCAAAAACAAATGATTAAATATGGTATTTTTTGCTATGCTTCTGTTAAAATGTAGGAGAGTGTTTTCTGATTGTGAAAATGGCCAATATTAACTTTTAGGTGAGTTATTAAATGTAAATTCTCACTCTCTTTCACAAGAGTAACAAACTGAAAATCATTAACATGTTGTTAGTAACTTAGGTCAATTTTTTCTTCTTCCCAGGGCTTATACAGTGTTCTTATTTTTGAAGCATTACAATATAAGAAAGAAAAATGACTAATGACTACATAAAATAATACCTGTCTTATAGTAAACACACACTTAAAATTATGAAATACATATATTTCAACAAATTGATTATAAAACAATTTTTGTAACTTTCTTTAATTTGTACTAGAAAACTGACATTTTCATGAAAAAAATCTAATAACCTAAGTGAAAAAAATTTGTAGAAAAGCTTAGATATTAATCTGCCCCAAAGCAACCTAAAAGTAGTCTATAAACAGAATATACCTTCTAAAATTCAGAGTCTTTTCCTAAGTCAGGTTTCTTTGGTACCATTTTGTAGTATTTTCCCTCTTGAAAGAGGTCATTTTGTCTGATGCCTCTTCACTTCCATAATGAAACAGTTATAAGAACTCTTTTAAATAAATATTCCTTATGTCAAATTTACAGTTTCCTGGTATTTTTGCTATTTCTTCTTTTGTTTGAGTATAATCATCAATTATATCAGCATACTTTTGTTATGAGGCATTCCTAAGAATGTCAGTTTCAAATTACTTTTTCTCAGTTTAAAATTATTTTTAACAGTGAGATTTTACTTAATGTACAACAAATTCATTGTATTAATTTTTAAAGTGCAGAATTCTATATATTATTTAGAATAAGGGATATTTTATTTTTATTAGGCTATATTGTCTATTGAAACAATGAGGCAATACACTTCAATATGGCAAAAAAGCATTTTTTCTTTGCTCCATCTAAAATTAAAAATATAAGGAAGGAAACCTAACATTATTCGGATTACTAAAGAACCAAAGGTAAAAGTGAGAAAATAAAAAAATGTGAGTAAAGATGACTTGTTGTCATCCAAAAGGCCATGGGTGGACAAACTTTTTTTGCAAAGCATCAGATGATAAATACGTCAGGCTTTATAGGCTATGCGGTCTTGTTTACAACTTCTGAACTCTGCTGTTTTAGCCATAGACAATACATAAATAAGTGTAGCTTTGTTCCAATAAAACTTCATTTATAGACCCTAAAATTCAAATTCCAAATAATTTTCACCTCACAAATATTACTCTCCTTTTGATTTTTTCAGCCATTTAAAAATGTAAAATATATTCTTAGCTCCCTGGACATGCAAAAAAAAGGTGACAGGCTGGATTTGGCTTGTGGGCTACATTGCTTACCCCTGTGAAAGTCTCACTCATTTTTTAACTTCAGTACCAAGCATGGCACTGAACACATATTGAGGATTAAAAACAAAAGCTTCACAAATGACCAAGTGGATGAGACATACAGGTATGCTAGGCTTTTACTCAACTATTTTACTTATGATCAAAATAATATATTAGCATACAACCCTTAATTCAATACAGCTTAGTGCTCTAAAAGTACTGAAAGTTATTTTGTGTCTTTTAAATATTTAACAGTTTAACATTTTCTAATTTACTATATTATCAAACACAGATCCTTTATGTAATAATACCTTTTTTGGACATACATTGCTTTGAAGTAATAATGGGACATAAAGGGAAAATACTTTGTATAGAAATGAGTTTCATAATCTGTGGAACTTTATAATTACTAATATTTCACTAGTGCCAATGAATTATCCAACCTTTATCGGACCAGAAAAAAATGAAATCTGGCCAGGCACAGTGGTTCATGCCTGTAATCTCAGCACTTTGGGAGGCCGAAGCAGGCAGATCACTTGAGGTCAGCAGTTTGAGACCATCCTGGCCAATGTGGCGAAACCCTGTCTCTACTAAAAATATAAAAATTAGCTGGGCTTGGTGGTGCACGCCTGTAATTCCAGCTACTCAGGAGGCTGAGGCACAGGAATTGCTTGAACGTGGAAGGTGGAGGTTGCAGTGAGCTGAGATCATGCCACTGCACTCCAGCCTAGGTTACAGAGTGAGACTCTGTCTCAAAAAAAAAAAAAAAAAAAAAAAGGCAAGCAATCTATTATTAAAAACCAGTTTTTATTATCAAGACAAAATTCTAAAAAGTTGATGAGTGAGAATTATCATGCTTTCATATGTAAGTTTTGATAGCATCTCATATTTAGAGGCAGGGAGAAGGCTAGAAGGCATGCAAGTATCAGATGAACCATATTCTATGATGCAGGGCCTAAAAATATAAACAAATTCATAATTTAGGAAAATCAATTCTGATAGCCCTATTCCTATAAAATATATAATAAAGAAGATAAACTTTACTATACTTGATATTCTATTCTCATTTTTAATAGACCTGGAGAGAAATCTGTTGATTAAATTTTTCATTTTATCTAGAGCTCATACCCATTGACAAAATCTTTGGATTGTTTTTTTTCATTCATCCTATTCATCATTTTCATCCTTCATTTTTTTTCTTACAACACACACATCCACAAACAATTTTGCTTTGTGCTTTACAGATTAAGCTAATTACTGACAATCATCGACTATAAAGCATTATTAGGATTTTAAGGGAGAAGTTTTACATTGTTTTACTTTTATCAAATTAGTATTTGTGCTTTCTACCAATAACTTCTGACCTCATTTAAAAATATTGGCAATCCTGATGTATATAATATAGGTAAATGTGTCTAGAAACAGCTTCTTCTCTTTAGATACAACTATCAAAACAGACAAATCAGTATATAATTCAGCGAGGATTATATTTCTAAATTCCTTTCTGACACATCAATATTATACGTTAGATATTATAAGAACTGCAACTACTCTACGATGTAAAGTAAAAGGGAAATTAGTAGAATTACTTTTTAGTGGGCCTATATTGATTTTATGTTTGCTTATTTATTATTTATTTTATTAGTATTATTTAATAGCCCACGACTGCTACAAACTTTTGCCATAGATATTCATATCATATGTATTTATATATACATATAAAATATGAAGTGAACCTATTAAAGATCAAGTTATTCACAATCAGGTAAATTGCTTCTTTTCAAAAACAGGTATTAGAGAAGACATATTTATGTATATTTTAAATCCATTTAAGAAACCTCTAATATAATTTTAACTATGTAGCTGCTATAGGTATATATGAATATAAGAGCACCTCAATAGTTTTCAAATAACTGAAAAACTTTAAGAATAAAATACTGCTCAATTTCTGAATAATGAAATATACAATGCCATGGAAACAGACACTTGTCAACTAGTAGTGCCAAAAAAGAAAAGAAACAAAACCTAGATACTAGAATAGCAGAAATTCAAGATTTCTGATTTATATAATATAGAGATGGAAGAGATCAAATATGAAGCTTACCCTACCAAAATTAAGAAATAATTTAACAAGATTCTAAAGACTTCATGGACATACTTCAAAACAAGTAAAAGGCTATAGTTGTCTATCTGGTATTACATGCAAAAAAGAAAAACTATCAAATGTGTCCATTTGGTAGTTACATAAGTTACATAGCAACAAATAAAAAAAATTAACTCTTATAAATTAACTCTTACATAAAATACCAGGAATAGTTCTCACTGAACGGTCACAGCCACCTTGGTAAATAGGTGCTTTTATTTCCCTCGCTTTATAGAAAACTAAGGCACAGAGTGGTTAAATGACTAGTCTATTAAGGTATAAGATAAAAATACATTTGGTCTTTCTTCTTGGTTCCTGACTTATTATAGAACTCATAAAACCCTTGGGAATTTCCTGAGTGATAGCAGTACAGAGTGCCTTTTGTTATTCCTAACAAACCTCTGCACCCCCCTCACCCCGCCTTTTTTTTTTTGAGACAGGGTCTCCCTCTGTCACCCAGGCTGGAGTGCAATGTTGTGATCTCTGCTCGCCGAAACCTCTACTCTCAGGTTCAAGTGATTCTCATGCCTCAGCTACCCAAGTAGCTGGGATTACAGGCGTGTGCCACCATGCCCAGCTAATTCTTTGTATTTTTAGTAAAGACATGGTCTCACTTTGTTGGCCAGGCTTGTCTTGAACTCCTTGCCTCAACTGATCCACCCGCCTGGGCCTCTCAAAGTGCTGGGATTACAGGTGTGAGCCACCATGCCAGGCCCAAACCTCTTCAGATCACACCTGAGTTTATGCTAATGAGACGACTTAGGGTGGGTGCCTAGATAGCCTCAGGATGGGGCTGGTCTGGTCATTGGAAAGACTAAGTTATTATGAGCATTGGAATTTTCAGTTCCACTCACTGAGGGGTGAGGTTGGAGACTGAGCTCCATAAAATATCTTGGAACAATGGGATTCAGAGAGCTTCCAGAGTGATGAACACATCAAGGTGCCGGAGGGGCGCTAAATACTGAGAGGGGATGGAACCTCCTTGCCCCTATACCTTGCCCTGTGCATCTCCTGCATTTGGCTATTCCTAAATTGTATCCTTTATAGTAAACTGGTAAGCATAAGTAAAGTGTTTCCAGGAGGTTTTGGACCTATTCTAGCAAATTAGTGAATCTGAAAATGCAGAGTGGGGTGGGGGACGCGGTTTGGGAACCAACTGACTTTGTAGTCAAGTAGGACAGAATTTTGACTAGCCTGGGGATCTGGTACTTGCCACTGGCATGTGACGTGAAGGCAATCTTGTGGACACAGCCCTTAAATCTGCAGAGTCTAGTACTAATTCCTGGTAGGTAGTGTCAGAATTTAATTGAAATAAAAAGAAGGACATTTGATATCTGGAGAGTTGAAGAACTGGCTGGTTCGAGTAAAAAAACCCACATTTAGCATCAGAAGTGTGAGTAAAAGCACTCCGTCTATGGTCACCTTGTTGATAAGTAGCAGAGCCAGAATTCAAAGGTTTGAATTTTCAGCCTAGCATTTTGTATTAACTGAAAGCCCAGTAGGATACAAAACATTTTGTGATGTAAATTATTTCCCCACGATCAATTATCCAAGGAATTAAAAATAATACTGTTATTTGGTTATGAATTAATTTTCTGGTGAAATTTTTTCTATTTTTCTGTTATGAAAAAATATGAAAATATCAAACCATCACACAAAAAATAGGCATACATAAACGCAAAGTGATTTACTAAAACACTTAAGACAGCACCCAAACTCCAAAAATCCATATCTTAACATAAGTAGTCAATGTTCTTACAAAGAAACAAAACACAAGCACACCTCTGCAGGAGATGGCTTCCTTCCCAATTGTACTTTTTCAGTCAGTCATAGCATAAAAGAAATGTAAAACTTTGCCAAAGAACCACTAACTATAGAAGCCAGAAGCTAAATAAATTGTGTAAGGATGACTTTATGCAGTTGAAGTTAACCTCTCAATACGACTCGATTTTGATTGCTTTAAAAGCCAAAACTATTTTATTTAAAACCCTAATTATAATAATATCAAAAGTTTATGTACCACGGTTTTTATATAGAGGAATAGAAAAAAAATAATTCTTAAAATTGCATTTTCATATAGTGAAAATATGGTCTATGGTCCAACAACAACGACAACATCTGCATCACCTGGGGCCTTGTTAGAAATACAGATTCTCAAGACCCATTGCAGCTTTACTAAATCAGAAACTCTAGGGGTGGGGGGTCAAGCAATTTGTGTTTTAATAAGTCCTCTGATTGATTCTGATGCAGGCTAACGTTTGAAAACCATTGTACTATTATAAGAAGGCCAGTAATTATTTAATAGATGCAGAGCAAAAGTACCTTGTGGAATGTTAATAAGGTAGTAGATACAATAGTGTACTGATTTGAAATAGAAAGACATAGTAAATATTAAGTTGAAACTGATCCAAGAAACACTTTTGGGGGGTTGGGTAGGTAAAGGAAACAATGTCACAAGTGGTGATGTAATTTTATGTATAGCTCTGAGGTGACATCTGTGGTTTATGGCTTCCTTAAAGAAAAAATACATCCCCCCCCATATTAGTTAATAGTGCTTATTCTTCATTCTTTCCCTAATTTTTCTTCCTATATATAAAATAGTTGAAGATGCTTCCTGTGGTCTTAAGCCTAGATATTAATTCTACTTTTGGGCTCATTAAATTCTGCATTTAAATGCTGTTCACATTTAGAATTGTGGAAAATATATCCCTTTTCAACAAAAGTACTGTAAAATCAGTATATTCTATTGCAGTCATCTTACTGTAATTTTAGACAAATGAAAAGGGTACCTCAAGAAAAGAATTGTATTGACAAAGCACATCAGACCAGATGCCATGCTAACCATCAGAATTCTGCTATCACTTCCTTTGGAAATGTGCCTGAAATTAGGCTGACATCAAGAAAATGACAGATTACCTCTGGACCAGTTTAATCTTCCTCATATTCTATCACTTCTAGTTTAAGCCCAAAGAAAAAAAGTCAGGAAACATTTTTCACAATTCATCCACAGCAAAATTTTCACATTATTAGAACTACAAGTCATTTGTTATGCCTAGCAAAGTTATAAAAATAATATAAATATAGTAAAAAGGATTAAAAAAACCATGATTAGTTTAATCCTTGAATATGAAAAGGCATGTACTATCTCACCTCTGGAGTGACATCTCGTGGTGCAAATCCTGTTCCTCCAGTTGTTAATATCAAATTAAGTTCCTTTTCATCACACCAATCTATCAGGGTTTCCTGAAAGAAAACAATAGTATAGTCATGTGCAGAAAAATTTGCCTGCTTGCTCAAAACATCCCAGTCCTAGGACACTTTGTATTCAACGAGGAAACACAGATTCTTTTCAACAGTCAGTAAGAAAATTTCTAAGCACAATTCATGGAACAGTTTCACTCTTGATCAAAAGGCACTGAAATTTTGAGTACTTATTTTATTAATTATAGAAAATGAGGATGCAAGTATCAAATTCTTGAAAGTAAATAAAACATAAGAAAACCGTAAATAAAGAGTTTATAATTAATGGCTTATCTGAAGTTCTTTTCAGCCATTCAAAATGCACTACTATGACAGTTATAGAGATTAGAATTACATGTCATAAAATTTTGGAGCTAGAAGGGTCTTTAGCAGATTTGCCTCTTTATTTTCTAAAGAGACAACTGAAGTACAATGTGCTTAAATAATTTACAAAATTACACACCTAGTTTATAACAAAGTGAAACTAGGATCTCCATCTGCTGACTTTTCTTATTCTTGCTAATTCTATCAACCCATTCTACATTTTAGCTATTTGCTAAAAAGGGCAATTAAGTGCTCATTAAATTATAATCATATACTTGCATTGGTATTACATTGTTTCATTACGTTTTTATAATTCAGAGTCAAAATTTAAAAATAGAATTTCATCATTTAATTGCCGATAACTGTTGTGAAATACAAATAGCAGGCTGATACCGAGATGTACAATACGGTCCCCACAATTCTCAAATTCATCAGTGACACAAAATGTAGGATGATTATTTAGAATAAATCCAAGACCTAAAAAATGATTTTTTCCCTTTTTTTTCAGTTTGTGTTTTATTCTGGTATCACAGAAATGCAGAGCTCAGAGCTCCAAATGAAGGGAACTTTTCTGTGCAATGATTAATTAATGGCAACAAACTATTTTTAAAAACATAAATTGTAGATAACTGAGAGCCCATCTAAAGAACTTTGATCCCAGATATAGTTATAATTTTGTTCTGAGGAAAGCCCCTCAAAAATCAATGATTATTATAATACAGGTGCTTATAAAGTGGTTTCATAAACCGAAGTTAAAACTTCAATTGTCTGTGCTTCATTTTAAAAAGCAGAAAAGCTTAAATACTCACTCTTATAAATAGCTCTCTATTCTTTCTGGTATATAAAAAAACCAGCTGGGTGAGTGGCTCATGCTTGTAATCCCAGCACTTTGGGAGGCCGAGGCGGGTGGATCACGTAAGGTCAGGAGCTTGAGAACAGCCTGGCCAACATGGCAAAACTCCATCTCTACTAAAAGTACAAAAATTGGCCAAGCATGGTGGAGCGCGCTTGTAGTCCCAGCTACTCAGGAGATTGAGGCAAGAGAATCACTTGAACCTGGGAGGCAGAGGTTGCAGTGAGCTGAGATCGCGCCACTGCACTCCAGCCTGGGTGACAGAATGAGACTCTGTCTCAAGAAAACAATAAACAAAAAACAAAACCACGGTTGATACCACAACTCAGCAATGTGTAGATTAACCATCTTTGTTTTCCGACTGATGTATCCTAGAACACCTTAGATCTCTTTGTAACATTCCTTTAAGTACTTCCATTACGGTAGTGAAATGCCTGTGCCACAGTTTTCTCACCTCTGATCACAATCCATTTATATCAAATCTTGATAAAAAGTGATATGAAATCCAAGTTGCATCAACAAAATATCTCAACACCAAAATGTTTATCTATATCAAATACCAACTTTCAGTATTAACATTAAGAGGGTATTCAAACTTTTCAAATTTTAAGATGCTAATAAACATAGTAAAAATGGTCCCTTTATACTGAAGAATGCTCCTGTTTTGCCTCAGATAATACTTCCTTATAACATAATTCATCTGTTGACTAAGTAAACATTTATGAAGTACCTACCATGTATTAAGTGTTAAAAGTTAAAAATAAGAGGAACACTGACTCAGATTTCAAAGAGCTAATAGTCAAGTAATGGTTCTCATCCTTGGGTGCACAATGGAATTATCTGCGGAGCTTTAAAAAATACTTGGGTCTCACCTCTTTGGTATAGCCTGGGCACTGACTGGGATTTTTAAAAGCTTCCCAGGTAATTCTAAAATGTAGCCAGCAACTGAAAACTACTAGTCTAAGGAGACGATCTGTTCAATTACTCAAGGGTAAATTTCACAGATAGTTGGGTAGGCCCAAAAAGATTTCATACAGTTTAAAATCAGTTGGCTGGACGCAGTGGCTCACGCCTGTAATCCCAGCACTTTGGGAGGCCGAGGTGGGTGGATCATGAGGTCAGGAGATCGAGGCCACCCAGGCCAAGATGGTGAAACGCCGTCTCTACTAAAAATACAAAAATTGGCCGGGCACGGTGGTGGGTGCCTCTAATCCCAGCTACTCGGGAGGCTGAGGCAGGAGAATCATTTGAACCAGGGAGGCAGAGGTTGCAGTGAGCCGAGAATGTGCCACTGCACTCTAGCCTGAGTAACAGAGCAAGACTCCGTCTCGAACAAACAAACAAACAAAAATCAGTTTTATTACAGTAATATTACTAAAGTTTTTCTATTTCCAGGATGGATAACTGGTAACACTTAATATATAGATTTCTTTCACTTGAATAACATTTGTTATCTTGAGAGCAATTAAGAATCTATTCAAGCATTTGGGAGGTAATATTTTGTTGGCCAAAGTAGCTAATGTGATATATGGCAGACTTCATGTGAGCAAAAATTTTAGTAAGGCTTTTAGATTTTAAGACAAAATAGAAATCCTATCATTCAGTCACTTGGTTTTCAAAACAAAAGAATTCTTCCTCACCCACCAGTATAGAATACCAGTTCTCCAGGCCCCTAGTTGTCATGCATCTGATTCATTAATTCATTTAACAAGAAAATATTTCAGGGCAAACTTTTATTCAGGTACTTCCTTAGAGAACAGCAATGCAAAGATAAATAAGGCAGTATCTCTGGTCTCAAGGATTCAGTCAAGTAGAGGAGCTCTTAGTCTATAGTTGTCTAGAATCTTGTTACTAAAAGTATGATCTGAGAACTGGCACCAGTGGTGTCACGGAATTAGAAATACACAATTTGAAGTTCCATCCAAGATCTACTGAATCAGAAGCTGCATTTTAAGAAAGATACCTCAAGGTGATATATGTATACATATTAAACTGAACTATGTGCCACATTAGATACTGAGTCTTTTTATTCTATCATGTTTAAAAAGCAGTTTATCTTAGCTATTTACTGTACCAACTTATTAAATTTATCTTATTTAACTTAGTAATTTATCTTAGCTTAGTTAGAAAGCAATTTATCTTGCCATATTTGTTTCTGCACCTGTTAGATCCACTTTATTCTGACAAAACTTTAATATTCAGCTGCCTCTACCAAATAAGAGGTCATTGAAGATTTTTTCATGAAAGCAACTTATGAAAAGTCCCTCTGCATCTGTTGCAAAAGTGAGGCTGAGGACATTGTTTATTTTAGTGATTAACTTTTCCTTATGTGGAGGATATTTCTTTAAAAAATTATTGCCTTGCATTTCTAGTATTCCATTCCATTCATCTTTAGTAGAATAAAGGTGTATCACAAAAATCCCCCTCCTAATATGTCATAAAATCAACATAAAAGAGTAAAAACTAGAGGAAAAACCTCCACAAGCAACAACCAAATAAGCAAACAACATAGCTTCGTAAGTCTCAAAAGCTGGATGGTTAAGGACAGAAACAAAAGATCTTTGAGACACACAGTTCTCCATTTTGAGGCTCCTAATGCTACTCTGGACTCCAAAGAGGTCATAATGGTGAATTCTCAAAATCTTAAAAATTCTCATGAATACCTCTAAATCTACAGAGATGCAAACTAAAAGAGACTCCATATCTTTTTCTTATTGTAAGCAGCTTCTATAAGAAACATGCAATGGAGGGCTCATGGCATTCAAGATGAAGATTCTAGAAACGAAGGCACACTGAAATGGAAAACTAATCTTAAACTTGATGACAGTCCTCACATAATGATGAGCTAAACCCTTATCTAGGAAGAAAGATTCTAGCACTGGACATTAATAAAATTTCAGAAGAGCAGAGTATTCCAACAAAGACTATATGTTGTCTCTGGTTTCTTGCTTCCCCTATTTTTTTTCTGTGCAAGTTCCAGATCTGATACAGTCTGGGCTGACTTTTTGTTTTTCTTCCTACATCTCTGCAACAAGTTTGAAATAAGCACTAGTTTGAGGACTGGATATTGTTTTATCAGTTTTTTTCTGAAAATCATATAATAAACAGAAATTGGAAGGTAAGGAGAGGGTAGGTGGGAAGAAATGTAATAGTGCAAATATCCTTATCTTTCATAGCAAGGATTCAACCAATCCTGTCTAAGGTTTAACATATAGTTAACATATGACTGTAACCTATTAATGACTTTCCTATTTTTTAAAATTTAGAGGGATTTCAGCATATAATATCTCTTCTAATAAAAAACAGTTATTTCAAAGTCAATAGGCTCTTTTACTCAGTTCCCTTTTCTTCTGCTTAAGTGTAAATAAATGCTACTATATATTAGCTTCAGAAAATTATCCTAATTGTTTAAATAGCTATGTCTTTCACTCATTTAAACATCCATACATTCTTCTAGCTACATAATAAGCAGTGAAAGATGTTGGAATGTTTTATAAACAATGTTAAATATTTATTACTCTTGGGTAGTTAGCTTTGAAGTACATTTTATTTTTTTACTGCCTTTTTACATTTTTGCCTTGTTTGAATTCTTTGTAATTTGTATGTATCATTAAAAAAATAAAGGGATTTCAATAGCCAACGTGGTCCTAAGCAAAAAAACAAAAACAAAAGCAAAAAACAAAAACAAAAAAACAAAGCTGGAGGCATCCCACTACCTGACTTCAAACTATACTATAGGGCTACAGTAACCAAAACAGCATGATATTGGCACAAAAAGACACATGGACCAATGGAACAGAATAGAGAACCCTAAAATAAGACCGCACACCTACAACTGTCTGATCTTTGACAAAGCTGACAAAAACAAGCAATGGGGACAGAACAGAGAACCCAGAAATAAGACCACACACTTACAACTCTCTGATCTTTGAAAAACATGACAAAAACAAGCAACAACCTATTCAATAAAAGGTGCTGGGAGAACTGGCTAGCCATATGCAGAAAATTGAAACTGGACCCCTTCCTTACACCATATACAAAAATTAACTAAAGATGGATTAAAGACTTAAATATAAAACCCAAAACTATAAACACCCTGGAAGACAACCTAGGCAATACCATTTAGGACATAGGCATGGGCAAAGAATTCATGACAAAGAAACTAAAAGCAATTGCAACAAAAGCAAAAATTGACAACTGGGATTTAATTAAACTAAAGAGCTTCTTTATAGCAACAGAAACTATCAAAAAAGTAAACAGACAACCTACAGAATGGGAGACAATTCTTTTGCAAACTATGCATCTGACAAAGGTCTAATATCCAGCATTTGCAAGGAACTTAAATAAATTTACAGGGAAAAAACCCATTAAAAAGTGGGGAAAGGACATGAACAGACACTTCTCAGAAGAAGACATACATGTGTCCTATAAGCATATGAACAAAAGCTCAACATCACTGATTAGCAAAATGCAAATCAAAACAACGAGATATCATCTCATGCAAGTCAGAATATTACTAAAAAGTCAAATAATAACAGATACTGGCAAGGTTGTGGAGAAAAAGGGACACTTTTACACTGTTGGTGGGAGGGTAAATTAGTTCAACCATTGTGGAAGACAGTGTCGCGATTCCTCAAAGACCTACAGACAGAAATACCATTCGACCCAGAAATCCCATTACTGAGTATATACCCAATTGATTATAAATCATTATATTATAAAGACACATGCACATGTATGTTCATTGTAGCACTATTCACAATAGCAAAGACATGGGAACAACCCAAATGCCCATCAATGACAGACTGAATAAAGAAAATGTGGTACCTATGCTCCATGCAATACTATGCAGCCACAAAAAACAATGAGATCATGTTCTTTGCAGGGACACGGATGGAGCTGGATCCCATTATCCTCAGCAAACTAATGCAGGAACAGAAAGCCAAATACCACTTGTTGTGACTAAGAAGTGGAAGCTAAATGATGAGAACACATGGGGGAACAACACACAGTGGGGCATGTTGAAGGGTGGAGGGTGAGAGGAGGGAGAGAAGCAGGAAATATAACTAATGGGTACTAGGCTTAATACCTGGTGATGAAATAATCTGTACAACCAACCCTCATGACATATGTTTACCTATGTAAAAAACCTACACATTCTACACATGTACCCCTAAACTTCAATTTAAAGTTAAAAAAAAGAGGGATTATAAACATTTATTCATTCTTCATTCTGATACTTAGTACTCATGGTCAGTAAGTTTAGAAATAAATTTTATACTTAATAATTACACATATACTACTGTGGTAAATTAAATATGGTCATACAGTCATTGTAAATCCTCCTGTCAGGAGGTGGGGTCTATTTCTACAACCCTTGCAACTGGGCTGGATTTCTGACTTGATTTGATCAATGGAATGGGGCAATAAGTCATGGTATGGCTGTTCTGAAGCCTAGGTTTCAAAAGGTTTCCATTCTTCTGTCTTCACTCTTTGGTAAACTTCTACTACCATGTCAGGAAGGCTGGGCTAGACAAGGGAATGATGGGTGACCATTTGGAGAGAAAGGTCTAGTGGAATATCCAGCACCAAGGTCCTACACATCTGAGTGAGGCTTAGATTCTCCAGACCCAACTGAGGTGACATTATTTCAGCTACATGAGTGACCTTAGACTCATGTGGCTGAAATAATGACATGAGAAAATATTCCCACTCAGAAAGCCCAGACTTGTGAAAAATAACAAATCACTATATGTGTTAAAGCCACCACATTTTGTGGTGGTTTTTAATGTAACAATACAATACAAAAACAACTAGTTTCACAGTTAACATTTTGGCATCCTCTTCTTTTTCTGACTATTTCCAATTTATATTTCATTAGTGATAAGTTTATCTTTTATAAAAAGCTTCAAAATAGTTCTAAAGGTAAGCTTGATGTATTATATTTAAATAAATTGGCACAAAGTCTTAAGAATATGATTATATAAGTTAATTTTCAGTTTAAGAAACATGCAAATACCTAGTATGTGCAATGACTATGCCCAGCATGTGTCATATATATATGTATACACATACACAAACACACATATATATTATTTTAAAAACCATGACAAATGTGCTTGATGTTACAGACATCAGAGATATGAACAAATTAATAATAGATCAGTATATTAACATAATAGATCAGTATATTATGGTGTTATTAGAGATCGTATACCCTTTTTAAGAAAACTTTCGGAAATACTACATGTATTTATAAATATATAATGTTTTCTTTACATTTACATTATTTAACAATAAAAAACATGATTACAGAAATTTTTAGCAAAATTATTGCCAAAGAGTAAACAACTCATCAAACAGAAAAACAGGGACAGTAATAGAGCTAAGAGAGAGTAAGTTTACATAAGTCATCATTCTCTGTATCTATCTGGAGCCTTATACTCATCCATTACAAAAGACATTTTTTCTGTCTCAATCTCTTTGAGTTCAGCTTTGATTTTGGTTATTACTTGTCTTCCACTAGCTTTGGGATTTGTTTGCTCTTGGTTCTCTAGTTCTTTTTAGTTGTGATGTTAGACTGTTAACTGGAGATCTTTCTAACTTTTTTGATGGCATTTAGTGCTATAAATTTCCTTCTTAACACTGCCTTATCTGTGTCCCAGAGATTCTGGTATGTTGTATCTTTGTCCACATTAGTTTCAAAGAACTTATTGATTTTTGCCTTAATTTCATTATTTACCAAACAGTCATTCAGGAGCAGGTTATTCAGTTTCCATGTAATTGTAGAGTTGTGAGTAAATTTCTCAGTCTTAATTTCTAATTTGATTGCACTGTGGTCCTAGAGATTGTTTGTTATGATTTCAGTTCTTTTGTATTTCCTCAAGAGCGTTTTACTTCTGATGATGTGATCAATTTTAGGATATATGCCATGTGACAATAAGAAGAATGTAAATTCTGTTGTTTTTACGTGGAGAGTTCTGTAGATATCTATCAGGTCCATTTGACTCAGGGCTGAGTTCAGGACCTGAATATTTGTTAATTTTCTTTCTCAGTGATCTAATATTGTCAGTGGGGTGTTAAAGACTACCACTATTATTGTGTGGGAGTCTAAGTGTCTTTGAAGGTCCCTAAGAACCTACTTTATGAGTGTGGGTGCTCCTGTGTTGGTGCATATATATTTAGGATATTTAGATCTTCTTGTTGATTTGAACCTTTTACCATTACCTAATGCCCCTCTTTTTCTTTTTTAACCTTTGTTGGTTTAAAGTCTGTTTTGTCGGAAAGTAGAACTGCAACCCTTGGCATTTTCTGTTTTCCATTTGCTTGGTAGATTTGTTTCCATCCCTTTTTTTTGAACCAGTGTATGCCATTGTATATGTGAGATGGGTCTCTTGAAGACAGCATATCAATGGGTCTCGGTTCTTTATCCAGCTTGCCACTCTGTGTTTTTAATTGGGGCATTTAGCCCATTTACATTTAAGGTTAGTATTGATATGTGTGGATTTGATCCTGTCATCATGATGTTAGCTGGTTACTTTGCAGACATATGTGGTTGCTTTCTAGTGTCACTGATCTGTGGACTTCAATGTGTTTTTGTAGTGGCTGGTAATGGTCTTTCCTTTCCACACTTAGTGCTTCCTTCAGGAGCTCTTGTAAGGTAGGTCTGGTAGTAATAAATTTCCTTAGCATTTGCTCGTCTGAAAAGGATCTTGTTTCTCCTTTGCTTATGAAGTTTAGTTTGGATGGATATGAAATTCTGGATTGGAATTCTTTTTAAGAATACTGAATATTGGGCCCCAGTCCTTTCTAGCTTGTAGGGTTTCAACTGAGATGTCTGCTGTTAGTTGGATGGGCTTCCCTTTGTAGGTGACCTGACCTTTCACTCTAGCTGCCTTTAACATGTTTTCTTTCATTTTTACTTGGGAGAATCTGATGATTACGTTTTGGGGATGATCTTCATGTGAAGTATCTTATTAGAGTTCTCTGCATTTCCTGAATTTGAATGTTGGCCTCTCTAGCTAGGTTGGGGAAGTTCTCATGGATGATACCTGAAACATGTTTTCCAAGTTGGTTCCATTATCCCCATCTCTTTCAGAGACACCAATCAGTCGCAGATTCAATCTCTTTACATAATCCCATATTTCTTGGAAGTTTTGTTCATTCCCTTCCATACTTTTTTTCCCTTTCTATTCTTGTCTGCCTGTCTTATTTCAGAAAGCCAGCCTTTAAGCTCTGAGATTCTTTCCTCAGCTTGTTCTATTCTGCTATTAATAATTGTGATTGCATTATGAACTTCCTGCAGTGTGTTTTTCAGCTCTATCATGTTGGTTATGTTCTTTTCAGTACTGGCTATTTTGTCTGTCAACTCCTGCCATGTTTTATCATGATTTTTACTTTCTTTGCACTGAGTTTCAACATACTCCTGTAGCTCAATGATCTTCATTTCTACCCATATTCTGAATTCTATTTCTGTCATTTCAGCCATCTGAGCCATGTTCTGGACCCTTGCTGGAGAGATGGTGTGGTCATCTGGAAGAAAGAAGGTACTCTAGCTTTTTGAGTTTTCAGCATTCTTGCACTGATTCTTTCTCATCTTTGTGGGCTTATCTATCTTCAATCTTTGAGGTTGCTGACCTTTGGATTTTTTTTCTTTTATCCTATTTGATAACCTTGAGGGTTTGATTATGGTATAAGATGCATTCAGCTGACTGGAAGAATCCAATCTTGTTTTTGGAACATTTTAGGAGGCCAATGCTCAGCTCCCAACTCCTGGACTGTGTGCTCTAACTCTGGGGGACTTGCATTGGGCCCCAGTTTGACCTCTTTGAGGTTCAGTCCATTGTGCTGGGGTTCTGAGGTGCAGCATCTGCAGAAGAGTGCTAACAGATGCAGGGGTGCCTGCCTCCCTGCAGGTGTTCACCATAGTGGTGGAGGCAACACAGCTGGTGGGGGATGGGGGGCCCTTGCTAGAGACTGTGCTGTTGCACTGGAGGTGGTGTTGGCTTGGGGGCAGGGTGCTGACCATCATAGATCTGGGTGCCTTCTCTGTGCCCCTCAAATAAGAGTGATTGTTCAGGGTGTGGGATGATCTGCTGTTCTCTGTGCAATGTTAGTGCAAGGGTGGGGTGCTGGCAGGAGTGAGACTTGCCAGCTCTGTGCTTACCAAGGGTGTCTGCAATGGTGGTCAGCAAGGGAGGAGGGCAGACTGCGTTCCTGTGTGCTGGCTGGGCAAGTAAAGCAAAAGCCACCTGTGTAGACATGCATCAGCAAAGTGATGTGGGGAGTGCCATGGGTCTAGGAAAGCTGCACAGGCTGGGGAGGGAGCGTGCAGGCTGGTGCGTGGCCATAGGGATGCCTCATCGAAACTCTCTACTGGTCAGGCATGGTCCATCAGTGTTGAAGCTACGGCGTGGGTACCCAGGGACCTCAAGACTGCCCTGCCAGCAGGCATGACCAGGCTAGGGCCCCAGGACAGGCCAGCAGACCAAGGAGGGCTCAGGTCAGACCAGCCCTGTCTGTTGCGCAAGACTTCCCTGGACAGATCAGGTCCAACAGTTCTCCTAGGACTAAAGTCTCTTATGGGAGCAAGTGAAGTCTAGGGGGATGGCTGTCCCTGGCCATGCTCCACTACAGTTACTTCTGCACCAAACCCTCTGGGCTCCACATCAGCTGGCTTGCTGCCCTTAAGACTTCCCTAAGTAACTCTCCCTGCCACCTCACGTGTCTGTGGTGGTTGAGGGGTCCCCTCCTGCTGGGGTTCCAGAGGC
Organism: Homo sapiens; assembly: GCF_000001405.40. Classification (NCBI taxonomy): domain Eukaryota; kingdom Metazoa; phylum Chordata; class Mammalia; order Primates; family Hominidae; genus Homo; species Homo sapiens. Next base: position 66,813,529 of record NC_000014.9, on the reverse strand, counting down.
CCATGGTGAGAGCGGGTTGCTCCTTGCCAGTTCAACTCACCCATGCTCCTGGAGCTGTTGTGGTTCAAAAATGAGTCCTGGTGCACAAAAGTCCATGCAGCGTTCCCAGCTTTCTCTTCCTTTAGCCCAGCTTCTATGTCTTCTCCTGGTCCACTCTTGATGCCTTCCCTGTAAAGATCTGTTAAAAGCATGCCTGTTGTCTCAGTACTTCCATGGGAGCTGTTCCACTTGTCTGTGTCTAGTTGGCCATCTTGCCCTTGCCCCTGCAAACCATTCTTTTAGTGTTTTTGTTGTCATTTGTTTGAATTCAACTATAAAATAATTATAAAAGTTATTAATTTGAGTTTATAGTAGGCACTATTAGCAAAACATACACAAAAAATTAAACGTGGTATAAATATTTGATTAGAAATGGTACTTTTCCCTAATATTATAACTTTGACTTCAGTAAAAAAAATTATATAAAGGAATCAGACTGTCAGTGAGGGTAGTTTATAGAACTCTTAAACTAGCTATTCTGCTATCTACTATTAAATTGATACTGTATAACCCATAAAAAATGCTAAGCTAAAATAATTATCTTCAGTGCAGTTTCTCTCTTGTAGTCAAAGATAATTTTCCAGAGTAAAATCTTGAATATTTCTAATTTTCCTTTCATTCTACATATAATTTCAACATGCATGGATACATTAATATGTTCCAACAGCAAACAATGTAAAAACTTCCCAAACACAAATAAGTAGGAATAAATTTTGTTGGTTTGAAAGCCAATTCAACCTGCTTTATAGAGCTGGATTAGTAGTTTTATTTAATGATGCTATATATTTACTAAATGATTTCACTGGCTCAGGTGGGGTCTTAAATTTAAAGAAGATACCCTGAAAACACTTTTCAGCTACTTTCTTTTTCACTTCTTAAATTTCTATTTGGTTCAATAGTTTCTATTTTTTTCTGCTAAGATTTCCTATCTCTTCACTCATTACAAGCATATGTTCCTTTACTGCTTGATTATGATTATAGAAGCTGCTTTAGAATTTTTGTCTGTTAATTACAATAGGTGGGTCATCTTGGGGTTAGTCTCAATTGATTATCTTTTCTCGCAAGAATGGGTCATGTTCACTTGTTTCTTTGTGAAATAATTTCAGACTATATGCTGGACACTGAGTGATATGTTGAATAGACACTGGATTTTGTTATAATATTGATTTTTTTAAATTTTAGTAAGCAGTGACTTCGGCAGACCTAACTGCAAACTCTGCTATGCAGAGGATGGCAATTCAAATTTCAGTTCAATCCCTTTAGCCCTAGTTGTGCTGTTTGTAGTCTACCCAGCTCATTCATGGCTCAGAGGTCAGCCAGAAATACAGGGAGTTTATTTATAGAATTTCAGGCTCCCCTCTTTGGCTCTCTCCTTTCTAGGATTTCCCTTTTTACTTTAATGTAGCTATAGTTTTCCCAAACCATTCTTGTAGCCAAGAAGCCAGCAGGTTTTAGCTGCCAGTTAGGCCAGATTGGGGCCTACTCTCAGGCTAAAAGTTTTAAGAATGGGATAATCAACCAGTGCCTTCTTCCAAATGGTAGAATCTGTCTACTTTATAGAGCACTCTCCAGTGCTTTCAGATAGTTATTGTTTCTTTGTTTGGTTTAGAGTTTATAATAGTTACTTGTGATACAGATAGGAGCTCTGATAGGAGCTATTCAATTATACTGGAATGAAGCTTATTCTCAAAGTAGCTTAAACACCTATTATTTTATTTGTCAATAAAATGTAGTACCAAATCCATGAGTTTGGCATTCAAGCCATTTTACTCACTGCTCTAGAATATGCAATATGCAAAAAATGGATGACTATATGTAAGAGATTTAATTAAATGTATCATCTGTTATACAATTGTAAACTAGGTTCTAGAAATGACAGTTGGTGAAAAATACATTTTCTATATTTTAACCTGTTCTTATATTTTGTTTCTTTTTTTTTTTTTTGCTGAATGTAAGAGTAGTCTTAAGTGATTTTTATGATTCTTAAAATACATGCTTACTAAAAAGACCAAAAATAATTCAATCAACAAAAAAGTATAAGGAAATTTAAAAATCACAAACATTTTATTAGACAACCAATTTTAAACCTTTGTTGACCATACTTCCATAAATATTTTCATACATAAAAAAATACACACACATGAATTTTTTTCTGTCCTTTCAAGAATGACAAATCCTTTCTTTTTTTACGTTTTATTTTTAGATTCAGGAGTGCACGTTCAGGTTTGTTACATGGGTATATTGCATGATGCTGAGGTTTGGGCTTCTAATGATCTCATTGCCCAAGTAATGAACATAGTACCCAACAGGTAGTTTTTCAATCCTTGTCCCTACTCTGCTCCTCCCTGCTTCTGAAATCCCCAGGGTTTATTGTTTCCACACATGGATGTTTTAATTTGCATTTTCAATTTGACAATATGTCATAAATAATCAATCTGTATTAATAAATGTAGTTCACTATAATGATTTTAAGTCTGCACAATATTCTGCATACTTTAAAAACTACTTTTAGTTTTTCACATTGACAAACTGTTTACCTTTATAAATTTTCTGACTGTAAGGCAGGGAAGTAGAAGCAGAGGTAACAGAAAAGGAATAGGTTTGGGAGTAAGACAGACTTGGGTACCCATTCCAGTTTTAGTCTACTTACTAGCTTTGTGCTCATAGGCAAGTTATTGAAACATGGACCACCATTAGAAGAATGAAAGGAAATGAGAACAGAAAGCATCTGATATAAATTTGGGTACATAACAAGAACTAAAAAATTAAGTGCCTCTTTGTATGTACACATACACACACACAAAGATTATAAAACTATTATGAAAGCAAAGGTACTCGGCCAAATCATATTACTACTGACTTCTGTATATACCAAAATTTGATGTGAGAATACATCTTCATATTAATATTATATATTAGTAAGAAAAAGAAGAATTTCTGTGATAGTTTTATTACCTTGTCTCAAACATCAATGACATATTTTTGACAAAGTTTCACACATAATGTCAATTTTCCTTTGAACATTTTTTTCCATGATGAATATAGCTAGACAAATAATTAGACATGGATAATATATATTATGTAATTAATTAAATTCTATTAATACTTTAAAAATCTTTAACAAAAAAAATCTGGAAACAGTTTTATTATTTAGTTTACTAATATTTAGCCCTATGGAGAATACAGAGGTCTGGTTTTCAAGTAATTTTTAATAATAGTCACTATGATTTAGTTTTCCAGTAGTAAAGAAATACTGGTACTATAGGTGTTACTATAGACTTCATATGTCTATATAAATTACATGTATTTATATGTAAAGAATAGTGGAGGAAATTCATTTTAGTAAGGTTAAAGAAGTATAATAATTTGATGGAACTTTAGCCAAGACTTCTGTGTAAATATATTATATAATAATTAGTAAGAGGAACAATATAACACTGATCTATAGGCAGCAAAAAATAGCAAAAAGACAGGTAGATTTAATCTATCTTTTCAAAGAGAGCCAAGAACTCTTAGCTTTACCAGATCAGAATGTTCTGATTTGAGAGGAAAATTACCTACTCCACATTATACAATGGTAATACTAAGTTCTGCTTTAAAAAAAATAAGGGACTAGGTGATCAAATACAGTAGAGAGAAAACCTGGCTATTTGATAGTTTATACTCGAAAGTGTTGCATTTCTTCCACGAATCCTCTGGGATGCTCTTATTCTGAGAATAACACAGTAAAGCATACTCTCAGTTAAGTGAATAGTACCAGAAGAGAAAACAAAAGGGATGAAAATCATTAACACTGAACAAATAAGAAATAAGGACTACACTATTTAATTGGAGGAGCAAATAGATTTCCAGTTGTATGGTGTTACTTGTATGCCATAGAGACTCCTAATAGTCGTTATTCCCCCAAAATATGCTGCTTCTTTTGAATTCCTTAACTCAGGGACTGGGACTCTTAAGAAGCTGTCTAAGTGAAAACCCTGAATTAATCTTTTTTGTATTTCTTGTTTCTGAAGTCTATTTGAATCATATCACACAGTTTTCCTTTACTATGTAAGTACTTTGCTAAGTACTTTACAAACATTTAATATTCGTAATGACAATAGTAGGTTTTATTATTATTATTATTATTATTTAGGAAAACTCTGAATGGTTAAGATACACATAAGGTCACAATCCTATTAAGGAGCAGAGCCTGTTTTATTAACCACTGTGATATACCCCCAGTACTTTCCATTCCTGTTGCCACAGGCATAAGCCTTATTTTTATCATCATTCACCTAGATTGCTATAAAGCACACTAAGTGGTCTGTCTCTGTCTCTTATCAATCCATTTTGATAAGAACAGTATATCCCCTGAAACAAATCTGAAAATGTCTTTCCTTTGCTTCAAAATCTTTAGAAACTATGCCCCCGACCAAAACATACAGCTCCTTTAAAATGTGACTCCAACCTAACTTACCTTCTTATTTCCTGCAAATAGAATTAATAATCCCTTGACTTTAGCCACACTTGAACTTCTGAAAACCACAATGCTTATTTACATTTAGTACATTTGTTCATATTTCTTTTGCTTTAGAAGTCCTTCCCATCATGTTCTCCATGAAGAATTCCTTGACACTCTGGTTGGAATTGGTCACTGTTTCCTCTGTGTTCCAAAATATTTTATACATATCTAAAATATATACATATTTTTTGAGATGAAGTCTCACTATGTTGCCCAGACTGGAGTGCAGTGGTGCGATCTTGGCTCACTGCAACCTCTGCCTCCCAGTTTCAAGCAATTTTCCTGCCTCAGCCTCCTGAGAAGCTGCAATTACAGGCACAGGCCACCACGCACGGCTAATTTTTGTATTTTTATTAGAGATGGGGTTTCACCATGTTGGTCAGGCTGGTCTAAAACTCCTGACCTCGTAATCCTCGCCTCGGCCTCCCAAAGTGTTGGGATTACAGGCGTGAGCCACCGCGCCTGGTCTAAAATATTTTATACATAAATTTGATACAGAATTTATGTTTTACAATGATTATCTCTTGTAGCTGACACTGAACTCCTTCAAGATCATTCACTTAACAAATATTTACTATAACTGAAAGATTGACAAGCCAATACATTAAAATTAGGAATTTCTGTTCAGCAAAGATACTTTTAAGAGAGTAAGAAGGCAAACAACCGAGGAGGAGAATAAATGGATGATACATGTATCAAAGGATTCATATCTAAAATTTATAAGAAATACCTACCAATAAATAAGAAAAAGACAAGTAATCTAATTCTTAAAAAGTAGAAAAGACTTAAACAGGCACTTCACAAAAGAAGAGATCCCAATGGCTAATAAAGACATGAAAAGATGTTTAATAACACCTGTAATCAATGAAAAAACTTAAAAACATATTTTGCTGTCACTATTTACATTCCAAAATGACTAAAATGGAAAAAGATTGACAATACTGTCAGTAAGAATGTGAAGCAAAATAGAGTTCTCATAAAATGTTGAAGAGAATATAAATTGGTACATCTATTTGAGAAAGGCAGATTCTAGCATGCAGAATTCACTTGCATACTCCACAACTTGGTAGTTCTAAGTCATGTCTATCCTGTCCATTAGGTGGAAATCTAAGAATGCATACATATGTGCACTAAAAGACATGTACAAGACTACTCATTGCACGATTATTGATAATACCCTGAAACTGAAAACAACTGAAATGTCCTTCCACAAAAGAATGGATAACTCAATTCTTGTATATTTAATAAAACATAAGACACCAAAATGCTTCTGTTGATATAAAGCTCAAAAGAAGTAAAGATAATTCATTTGCTAGAAATCAGGATAGTGATTACCTTTGGGAGAAGGGAAGGTATAGTAACTGGGAAGTTCAGAAACAACATTCTTATTAAGAGAAAAGGAGTACTGGAAAGTAACACATATTGATGTAAATGATTCTTAGTGAGTTTATAGCATTCACGCAGAATGATCTACTGAATGATGCTTTGTATTTATTCTACTATTAACTCTCACTATTATAGAAGAACCCAGACTGTAGGTTTGAATCTGCTATACAACTGCTTGCTGTGTGACCTTTAGCAAGTCATTTAACTGTGTCTCATTTTTCTCACTTATGAAATAGAGACAATAATTATACCTACTGCATATGTTTGTTATGAGGATGATATGGTTTGGCTGTGTCCCCACCCAAATCTCATCTTGAATTCCCCCATGTTGTGGGAGGGACCTGGTGGGAGGTAATTGAATCATGGGGGCAGGATTTTCCTGTGCTGTTCTTGTGATAGTGAATAAGTCTCACGAGATCTGATGTAAAAAGGGAATCTTCCCTGCACAAACTCTCTCTTTGCCTGCTGCCATCTACGTAAGATGTGACTTGCTCTTCCTTGCCTTCCACCATGATTGTGAGGCCTCCCAGCCATGTGAAACTGTAAGTCCAATAAACGTCTCTCTTTTTTTAATGTTTTTGTAAATTGCCGAGTCTCGGGTATGTCTTTATCAATAGTGTGAAAACAGACTAATTCAGTAAATTGGTACCAGTAGAGTGGGGCACTGCTGTAGATACCCAAAAATGTGAAAGGAACTTTGGAACTGGGTAACAGGTAGGGGTTGGAACAATTTGGAGGGCTAAAAAGAAGACAGAAAAATGTGGGAAAGTTTGGAACTTCCTAAAGACTTGTGGAATGGCTTTGCCCAAAATGCTGATAGCAATATGGACAATAAAGTCCAGGATGAGGCAGTCTCAGATGGAGATGAGGAACTTCTTGGGAACTGGAGCAAAGGTGACTCTTGTTATGTTTTTGCAAAGAGACTGGCAGCATTTTGACTCTGCCCTAGAGAGTTCAATAACTTTGAACTTGAGAGAGATGATTTAGGATAGCTGGTGGAAGAAATTTCTAAGCAACAAAGCATTCAATGGGTGACTTGGGTGCTGTTAAAGGCATTCAGTTTTATAAGGGAAGCAGAGTGTAAAAGTTTGGAAAATTTGCAGCCTGACAATGCAATAGAAAAGAAAATGCAATAGAAAAGAAATAGAAAAGAATTTCTGAGGAGAAATTCAAGCTGGCTGCAGAAATCTGCATGAGTAACAAGGAGCCGAATGTTAATCCCCAAGAAAATGGGGAAAATGTCTCCAAGGACTGTCAGAGACCTTTGCAGCAGCCCCTCCCATCACAGGTCTGGAGGACTAAGAGGAAAAAGTGGTTTTATGGGCCGGGACCAGGGTCCTTGTGCTATGTGCAGTCTAGGGACTTGGTGCCCTGCATCTTAGCCGCTCCAGCAGTGGCTGAAAGGGGACAACGTAGAGCTCAAGCTGTGGCTTCAGAGGGTGCAAGCCTCAAGCTTTGGCAGCTTCCATGTGGTATTGAGCTTGCGAGTGAACAGAAATCAAGAATTGAGGTTTGGGAACCGCCATCTAGATTTCAGACATATGAAAACGCCTGGATGCCCAGGCAGAAGTTTGCCGTAGGGGTGGGGACCTCATGCAGAACCTCTGCTAGGGCAGTGCAGAAGAGAAATGTGGGGTTGGAGCCTCCACAGGGTCCCTACTGGGGCAGTGCCTAGCAGAGCTGTGAGAAGAGGGCCACCATCCTCCAGACCCCAGAATGATAGATCCAATGAAATCTGGTACCGTGTGCCTGAAAAAGCCACAGACACTCAATGCCAGCCCGTGAAAGCAGCTGGGAGGGAGGCTGTACCCTGCAAAGCCACAGGAGTGGAGCTGCCCAAGACCATGGGAACCCACCTCTTGCATCAGTGTGGCCTGGTTGTGAGACATAGAGTCAAAGGAGTTCATTCTGCAGCTTAAAGATTTGACTGCCTTGCTGGATTTCAGACTTGCATGGAGCCTGTAGTCCCTTTCTTTTGGCCAATTTTCCCCATTTGGAATGTGTATATTTACCCAATACCTGTACCCACATTGTACCTAGGAAGTAACTAAGTTGCTTCTGATTTTACAGGCTCATAGGCAGAAGGGACTTGACTTGTCTTGGATGAGACTTTGGACTGTGGATTTCTGAGCTAATGCTGAAATATGTTAAGACTTCAGGGGACTGTTGAGAAGGCATGATTGGGTATGAAATGTGAGGGTATGAGATTTGGGAGGGGCCAGGGGTGAAATGATATGGTTTGATTGTATCCCCACCCAAATTTCATCTTGAATTCCCCCATGTTGTGGGAGGGACCTGGTGGGAAGTAACTGAATCATGGGGGCAGGTTTTTCCCTTGCTATTCTAGCAATAGTGAGTAAGTCTCATGAGATCTGATGGTTTTAGAAAGGGGAGTTTCCCTGCATAAGCTCCCTCTTTGCCTGCCGCCATCCATGTAAGATGTGACTTGCTCCTCCTTGCTGTCCACCATGATTGTGAGGCCTCCCCAGCCATGGGGAACTGTAAGTCCAACAAACTTATTTCTTTTGTAAATTGCCCAGTCTGAGGTATGTCTTTATCAGCAGCGTGAAACAGACTAATACAGAGAATTAAAATGAGTTAGTAATTTTAAAGCAATTACAACAGTGCCTGACACACAGAGCATTACACAAACCAGAATCAAAGAGATTTAAACAGAAGTATCTTTTTTATTTAATCCTAGCAATAATCAGTTAAAAAATATAATACAGGAGTTCTGTTTCTGGGTAGGATGCAAAATGTCACAGCAGGGTAATACTTTTACTGTAACAAGTGGAAAACATCACATAATTATAAAAATGCTGCTTTTAAAGATATCAGATAATTGCAGAAATAATAATGATTAAGTGAAATAAAATTCCAAAGAGGAGGAAACTTTCCAGAGTAAAACGGATAATGTCCAGCTTTTCCTACCAAGCCACCCCCACTGTGTGTATTTGTTGATTTTGGACATAGGCTGACTGTTAATTTTACTAGGCAGACAACCTCTGCTAAGGAAGAATTAGCCAGAAACCTCTTAAAACATTTAAACTTAAAAATTTGAATAAACCCAAGCTCATGGATGTTTTTCTCCTTGGAGCAATTGTAGATTCTGGTGGTATACAGAAGCATGCAAAGCTAGACAAAAAGCTTATGAAAGGCAAAATGAAATCTTTTGCATTGTTCATAATAATTGAAAAACAAAGACTTGCTAGGGAAGTAAGTCTGACCAAAGTACAATGCCTATTTCCTGTCAAAGTATTTGCTAGTTTTTGAGGCTATATTGGTTAGGCTGGAGACAAGAGAGCTGGGCTGCAGCCTATGAATATTAGAGCTAAACCTCCTAGTGTCTTTCATGACTGAGGGAATGGAAAACCCACCATGTTCGTAGCCCAGCTGTAATCCAGCTCAATTCCTGATGGGATTGTAGTAATTGATTTCTCACACTTTCTGCCTACAGAAGAAGGAGGAATGTTCTATGATTAAGTCACCTATGGCCAATATGAGTCTTTTACATATAACATAAAATTATTAAAAATTACTTGATTTGCCAGAAAGTAGAACCCAAAATTGAGAGGAAAAAACAGAACAAAAAAAACCCCCAAAAGAGATGCATTGAAAGTTTACAGCCAAGAACTTTCAAGTAAACTATGATTAATATGTTCAAGAAAATAGAAAAAAAATTAACAAAATGGATGAAATGGTACAGAATATCACCACAGCATTGGAATCTAAAAAAGTTTAATGGACATAATAGAAGGGAAATTACAAAGTTCATCAGGGGTAAATAATGCAAACACAGGTAAAAGGGAGAAACACTACAAAACATAGGAATACTAAACTCAAAGACAGATCAACAACAATAAAAAAACCTCCACAAACTGATGCAGAGAAAGTAAACAACAAGAAAAAAGAAAGAGGAAAAATATAAAAAGCCACAAAACATGTGGGACACACTCAAAAATATAGTATAATTGGATTCCAGAAAGAGAAGATAGAATAGGAAGAAGTAATAACCAAAAATAATGTCTAAGAATTTCCTCAAATTCAAGAAAGATACGAATAAAAAGGCAATTACTGAAGAGAGGGGTGGAGTGAGATGGTGGAACAAAAAGCTCCACCAATTGTTGCCTCCGCCACCCCCTGCAAGTACACCAATTTAACAACTATCTACACAAAAAAAGTACCTTCGTAAAACTCAAACTCAGGTGAGCACTCATAGTACCTGGTTTTAACTTCATATTGCTAAAAGAGGCATTGAAGACATAGAAAAAGTTTTGAATAGTCAACAGGACCCCTGTCCTATCCCGTGGCAGTGGAGGTGTGGTGCAGACAGCATTTCTGTGCCCTGGGGAGAAGGACAGCAGGCAATTTTGAGGCACTGAACTCGGTGTTGCCCTTGTTATAGCAGAAAGCGAAACTGGATAAAACTCAGCTGACCATCCCTAGCCATAGGGGAACTGCTGATCCTAGCAATCAGAACTTGAGTTCCTGAAAGCTTCACCATCTGGCACTAAAGTGCTCTGGGGCAGCAAATAAACTTCAAAGGCAGTTGAGGCCACAAGGACTGCAATAATTAGGTGAGTCCTAGGGCTGAACAGGGTCCACTGACAGTGGACTGGGGGTGGAGAGGGAAGCGACCTACTGAGACACCATCTAAGGGAGTACTGACATCACCCCTCCCCTAACCCCAGGATGCACAGCTTGTGGCTCCAAAAGAGACACTTCCATCCACTTGAGGAGAGGAGACAAAGTGTGAGGACGACTTTGTCTTGGAGCTGGGATACCAGCTCAGCCAGAGCAGGATAGGGCACTGGTCAGAGTCATGAGGTCCTCGTTCTAGGCCCTAGCTCCTGGACACTTCTAGATACACCCTGGACCAGAAGGGAACCCACAGCCTTGTAGGGAAGGATCCAGTCCTGGCAGGATTCATCAACTGCAAACTAAAGAGCCCTTGGGCACTGAATAATGAGCAGTGATACCCAGGTATCAAGGGCTTGGGTGAGATGGTGAGACTTGCTGGCATCAGGTGAGATTCTGCACATTCCCACCTGTGGTGGCTATGGGGCAAAACTCCTTCTGCTTGAGAAAAGCAGAAGGAAAAGTGAAAGGGACTTTGTCTTGCAACTCGGGTACCAACTTGGCCACAGGGGGTTGAGCATCAAGTAGGCTCTTGGGATTTCCAGGAACTGCCTCTTGGATGACATTCTGGGACATGCCCTGGGCCAGAGGGTATACCACTCCCCTGAAGGGTGAGTTCAAGACCAGGCAGCATTCACCACAGACTGATAGAAGAGCCTTTGGGCCTTAAGGAAATATCTGAGGTAGAATGGCAGTACTCGCCATAAGCCTGAGATGGTGGTTGCCATGGGGTTAGGCTCCTCTGCTTTTGGAATGTGAAGGGAAAAGTGCAAAGGACTATGTCATGCGGTTTGAGGGCAAGCTCAGCCATACTACAAGAGAACACTAGGTGGACATCTAAGGACTTTACTTCAGTCCCTGGCTCCTGGATGGCACCTATGGACTCACCTAGGGCCTGGGGGAACTTGCTGCCCTGACGGGAAGAAAATAGGCCCTGTTGGCTTTGTAACCTGCTGATTGTAGAGCTGCAGGACTTTGAGTGAACACAGATGGTAGCCAGAAAGTGGTTCTAGCAGGACTTGAGCAAGACCCAGTGTTGTGCTGGTTTCAGGCCTGATCCAGTGCAGTCCTAGAGATGGTGGCCACAAGGGTGCTTGTGCTACACCACCACCAGCTCCAGGTAGCTCAAGGAGGGAGAGGGAGAGGGAGAGGGAGCGGGAGCGGGAGCGGGCATAGATGGTAGCCAGAAAGTGGTTACAGCAGGACTTGAGCAAGACCCAATATTGTGCTGGCTTCAGGCCTGATCCAGTGCAGTCCTAGAGATGGTGGCCACAAGGGTGCTTGTGCTACACCACCATCAGCTCCAGGTAGCTCAAGGAGAGAGAGGGGGGAGAGAGCGGGGGGAGGGGAGGAGAGAGAGAGAGAGGGAGAGAGAGAGAGAGTGGGGAGAGGGGCAGCGGGGAGAGAGAGAGAGAATGAGAGAAGACTCATTTTTTTTGGGAGAAAGGAAGGGAGGACAACAATAGCCTGCTTGATAATCCAGAGAATTCTTTAGGATCTTGTATAAGATTATCAAGGTGGTACCTTTACAAGTCTGCAAGAATCTCAGCGTTACTGGGCTTGGGATGCCCGCTAAAGCTTATAACACTCAGGTCCTTTCATAATATTTGGAAAGCCTTCCCAAGAAGGATGAGTACAAATGAGCACAGACTGCAAAGACTACAGGAAATACATAACACTTTAATGCCCAGACACAGATGAACATCTGCAAGTATCAAGACAACCCAGGAAAACATGACCTCACCACATGAACTAAATAAGGCACCAGGGTCCAAACCTGGAAAAACAGAGATATGTGGCCACTGAGACAAAGAATACAAAATAGCTGTGTTGAATAAACTCAAGAATAAATTCAAGACAAGACAGAGAAGAAATTCAGACTTCTATCAGATAAATTTAACAAAGAGAATTAAGTAACTAAAAAAGAAGCAACAAGAAATTCTAAAGCTTAAAAATATAATTGGCATACTAAAGAGTGCATCAAAGTCCTTTAACAGCAGAACTGATTAAGCAGAAGAAAGAATTAGTGAGCTTGAATACAGGCCATTTGAAACTACACAGAGGAGACAAAAGAAAAAAGAATAAGAAACATGCCTACACGATCAAGAGAATAGTCTCAAAAGGGCAAATCCAAGAGTTACAGGCCTAAAAAGAGGAGATACAGAAAGAAATAGGGGTAGAAAGATTATTCAAAAGGATAATAACAGAGAACTTCCCAAACCTAGAGAAAGATATCAATAGCCATTGTAGAAGAGTGGTATAGAACATCAAGCAGATTGAACCCTAAGATTATTTAATACCTCATGGTATTTAGTATTCAAACTCCCAATGGTCAAGGATAAAGAAAGGATCTTAAAAGCAGCATGAGAAAAATAAAAAAAAAACTACAAATAACATACAATATAGCTCCAATACTTTTGGCAGCAGATTTTTCAGTGGAAACCTTATAGACCAAGAAAGAGGGGCATGACATATTTATAGTGCTGAAAGAAGAAATCTTTTACCCTAGAATAGAATATTTTTCAAACATGAACAAGAAATAAAGACTTTCCCAACAAAAGCTGAGGGATTTTTATCAACACCAGATCTGTCTTACAAGACACGCTAAACGAAGTACTTCGATCAGAAAAAAAGCAGTAAGTAATCACCTGAAGGTACAAAACTCACTGGTAATAGTAAGTACACAGAAAAATACAGAATATTACAACACTGTAACTGGGGTTTGCAGACTATTCTTATCTTAAGTAGAAAGACTAATAAACCAATTAAAAATAATAATTATAAAAACTTTTGAAGACATAGTCCGTACATTAAGATATAAATAGAAAAAACAAAAAGTTAAACAGTGGAGGGATAACGTTAAAGTGTAGACTTTTATTAGTTTGTGGCTTGCTTGCTTGTTTGTTTATGCAAAAAGTGTTAAGTTGTTATCAGGTTAAAATAATATGTTATAAGATAGTATTTGCAAGCTTCATGGTAATATCAAACCAAAAAACATACAATGGAGAGAAAAAAATAAAAAGCAAGAAACTAAGTCATATCACCAGAGAAAATCATCTTCACTAAAGAAAGACAGGATGAAAAGACCACAAAACAACCAGAGAACAAATAATAAAATGGCAGGAGAAAATCCTTACTTATCAATAATAACACTGAATGTAATTACACTAAATGCTTCCATTAAAAAACAAAGACTGGCAGAATGGATGGAAAAACAAGACCTATTGATCTGTTGCCTACGAGAAGAACACTTCACCTACAAAGACACCATAGACTGAAAATAAAGGAATGGAAAAAGATATTCCATGCCAATAAAAACATAAAAAGAGCAGGAATTGATACACTTATATCAGACAAAATAGATTTCAAGGCCAAACTATTAGAAGAGACAAAGAAGGTCACTATATAATGATAAACAAGTCAATTCAGGAAGAGGATATAAAAATTTTAAATATGTATGCCCCCAGTACTTGAGCACTCAGATAAATAATGCAAATATTACTACAGCTAAAGAGAGAGAGGCCCCAACACAATAGTAGCTGGAGACTTCAACACCTACTTTAAGCATTGGAAAGATCTTCCAGGAAGAAAATCAAAGAAACATCAGATTTGGTCTGCAGTATAGACCAAATAGATCTAATAGATATTTACACATCATTTCACACAATGGCTGCAGAGTACACATTCCTCTCCTTAGCACATGGAACATTCTCTAGAATAGACCATATGTTAGGTCACAAAATATGTCTTAAAACATTTTTTAAAAACTAAAATAATATCAAGCATCTTCTCTGACCACAATGAAATAAAACTAGAAATCAATAACAAGAGGAATTTTGGAAACTATACAAATATATAGAAATTAAACAATATGCTCCTGAATGACCACTGGGTCAATTAAGAAATTAAGAAGAAAACTGAAAAATTTATTGAAACAAATGATAACAGAAACAATACATATCAAAACCTATGGGATACAGCAAAAGCAGTACTAAGAGGGAAGTTTATAGCTGTAAGGGCCTACATTAAAAAAGGAGGAAACTTCAAATAAGCAATCTAATAATGCATCTTAAAGAACTAGACAAGCAAGGGCAAACCAAACCCAAGAGTAGTAGCAGAAAAGAAATAAAGATCAGAGGAGAAAGAAATCAAATTGGAATGAAGAAAAAAAAATCAAAGATCAATGAAACAAACATTTAAGTTTTTTTTGAAAAATTAAACAATATTGACAAACCATTAGCCACATTAACTAGAAAAAAAGAGAGAGGGAAGATCCAAATAAATACAATCAAAAATAAAAAAGGTGACATTACAATTGATACTGCAGAAATTCAAAGGATCATTAGTGGCTACTATTAGCAACTGTATCCCAATAAATTGCAAAATCTAGTAGAAATGGACAAATTCCTAGATATGTATAACCTAACATGGTTGAAACATGAAGAAATCTAAAACCTGAATAGAGCAATAACAAGTAATGAGATCAAAGCTGTAATAAAATATCTCCCAGTAAAGAAGTCCAAGACCCGATGGCTTCCCTGCTTTCTACCAAACATTTTAAGAAGAATTAATACCAATTCTATTCACACTATTCTGAAAAATAGACGAGGGAATACTTCTAAATTCATTGTGTGAGGCTAATATTACCCTGATACTAAGACCAAACACACATAAAAAAGAAAACTATAGGCCAATATCTCTCATGAATATTGATGCAAAACTCCTCAATGAAATATTAGTAAAATGAATTCAGCAATACATCAGAAAGATCATTCACCATGACCAAGTGGGATTTATTCCTGGGATTCAAGGATTGTTCAACATATGCAAATCAGTCAATGTAATACATCATATCAACAGAATGATGGGGAAAACCATATGATCATTTCAATTGATGCTAACAAAGCATTTGATAAAATTCAACATCCCTTTGTGATAAAAGCCATCAAAAAACTGAGGATAGACTGAATATAACTGAGCATAATAAAAACCATGCATGACAGACCCACAGCTAGTATCATAATGAATGGGGAAAAACTGAAAGCCCTTCCTCTAAGATCTGGTAGAAGACCAGTATGCCCATTGTCATCAGTGTTACTCAACATAGTAATGGCTGTTCTAGATAGACCAGTCAGACAAGAGAAATATATAAAGAAAATCCAAACTGAAAGGGAAGAAGTAAAATTTTCCTTGTTTGCAGATGATATGACATTATATGTGGAAAAACCTAAAGACTACACAAGAAAACTATTAGAACTGATAAATTCAGTGAAGTTACAGGATACAAAATCAACATACAAAAATCAGTAGCATTTTTATCTGCCAACAGTGAACAATCTGAAAAATAAATAAAAATAACCCCATTTACAATAGCCACACACAAAAGTAAATACTTAGGAATTAATTTAACCAAAGAGCAAAAGATCTTAATGAAAGATTAATGAAAACTATGATACACTAATAAAATAAAGAGATAAAAAATATAAACATATTCCATGTTCATGGATTAGAAGAGTAACTATTGTTAAAATGTTCATAGTACCCAAAGCAATCTACAGATTTAATACAATCCCTATCAAAATACTAATGTTACTCTATACAGAAATGGAAAAAACTATCCTAAAATTTATATGGAACCACAGAAAACCCAGAATAGCCACAGCTATCCTAAGGAAAAAGAACAAAACTGGAAGAAATCATATTACCTGACTCCAAATTATATTACAAAGCTATAATAACCCAAACATCATGATACTGACATAAAAACAGACACCTAGGTTAATGGAACAGAATAGAGAACCCAGAAACAAATCCACATACCTACAGTGAACTTATTTTCAACAAAGATGCCAAGAACACACACTGGAAAAAAACTCTTTCTTCAATGAATGGTGCTGGGAAAACTGAATATCCATTATGCAAAAAAAAAAAAAAAAAAAAAGGAACTAGATACCTATGTCTCACCATATACAAAAATCAAATAAAAATGCATTAAATAATTAAATGTAAGACCTCAAACTATGAAACTACAAGAAAACATAGGGGAAACTCTCCAGGACATTGATCTGGGCAAAGATTTCTTGAGTAACACTCCACAAGCATAGGTAACCAAAGCAAAAATGGACAAATAGGAGTATATCACATTAAATGTCTTTTGCACAGCAAAGGTCAATCAATAGAGTGAAGAGACAACCCACAGAATGGAGAAAATATTTGCAAGCTACCCATCGGACAAGGGATTAATGACCAGAATATATAAGGAGCTCAACAACTGTACAGGAAAAAAATCTATTCAATTTAAAAATAGGCAAAATATTTGATATAAATGGCAAATAGGCATATGAAAAGGTGCTCAACATAATTAACCATCAGAGAAATGAAAATCAAAACTATAATATGATCTCACCCCAAGTAAAATGGCTTTTATCAAAAGGACAGGCAATAAGAAATGCTGGTGAGAATGTGAAGAAAAGGGAACCCTTGTACACTACTGGTGGGAATGTAAATTATTACAAACTCTATGAAGAATAGTTTGGAGGTTTCTTTAAAAACAAAAAATTAAGCTGGCATATGTTCCAGAAATCCTACTGCAGCATTAGTTGTAGCATTAGCATACTGGTGGGTATATACTGAAAAAAAAAAGGAAACAATATATTGAATAGATATTTGCACTCCCATGTTTGTTGCAGCTGTGTTCACAATAGCTAAGATTTGGAAGCAACCTGTGTCCATCAATAGATTAATAGATAATGTGGTTCTTATATACAGTGGAGTATAATTCAGCCATAAAAAAGAATGAGATTCAGTCATTTGCAACAACATCAGTGGAACTGGATGTCATTATGTTAAGTGAAATAAGCGAGGCACAGAAAGAAAAACATTGCTCTCACTTACTAGTGGGATCTAAAAATTAAAACGATTGAACCCATGGAGTTAGAGGGTAAAAAGATGGTTACCAGAGGCTAGGAAGGGTAGAGGGGGAGAGGGTAAGGTGGAGGTAGGGATGGTTAGTAGGTACAAAAAACAGAATGAATGAATAAGTCCTAGTATGTGATAGCAAAACAGAGTGACTACAGAAATTAACTTAATTATCTATTTAAAAATAACTAAAAGAGTATAATTGGATTGTTTATAACAGCAAGGATTAATGCTTGAGGGGATTGATACCCCATTTCCATGATGTGACTATTATGCATTGCATGCGTGTAGCAAACATCTCATGTGCCCTATAAATATATACATTTATTATGTACACACAAAAATTAGAAATTAAAATTAAAAAAGCAATTATTCATATTAGAAATGGTAAAAGTGATTATTATTAGTAGAAACTATAATGGATGGATGTTGAAATATACCCTTGGGTAGTCCTTAAAAAAACCCAAACCCCTAAAACACATTCGAAGAATATATAACAAGTTAACTGAAGAAGAAAACTGAATAATAAAAGCTACTGTATTAATCTAAAATAAGGTAAGGAAGTAAGAGAAAAAGGAAACCAGTGGGCTAAATAGAAAACAAACATTGAGTTATTAATAATTATAATAAATGAAAACTGTCTAAATACAGTGAGTGCAAAACAAGTTTCAGGAAAGAAGTAAAAAAATGTTTACAAGAGTCATTTACATTTAAAATTTAATGACAAGGGTGAAATGAGAATGATGAAAATAGATTATCATGAAAGCACCAAGCAAAATAGACTGGTTGTAGCATTAGCATACCAAAAAAGTAGCTTATAAGGCAAGAAATGCTATTAGAGATGAAAAACATTTCAGAATGTTAAAAGTGTCAATTCAAATATGCAGATATAAAAATATTGTCAATACCCAGTAAGATAGTGTGCCTCTCTATCTGTCTATCTATTTATTTTATTTATTTATTTTTTTGAGACAGGGTGTTTCACTATGATGCCCAGGCTGGACTCAAACTATTGGCTCAAGTGATCCTCCTGCCTCAGCCTCCAGAGAAGCTGGGATTATAGCATGTGCTACTGTACCTGGCAAAAAACATGAAGTAGAAGTTAACTGAATTCAAAGAAAAAATAGACAAATCCACATAAAAAGTGGTTAGATATTTTTGTATACCTCTCTAACTGAAAAATTGATAAAATTAATAAAAATGTAAAATGTCTGAAAACCACAAGAAATAAATTTGTCCTAATGTACATATATGCAACAGTAAACCAACCATTGCCAAATGTTATAGACCTCTTCAAGATCAAATGTTAATAATTACCAAAGTAGACAATCTACTGGGCCATAAAGGAAGTTTCAGAAATGTTAATGAACTCAAATCAAACAAAGAAAAAGTATTAAGCACTTCTGTTTTTTCTACATTAACTGTATCAATTCATAACTAAATAATAGTTAAAGGGAAGCACCTTTTTATAGAAGTATGCAAACTGATAAAGAATTTTAATTATATATTTTATTTTTCTTTGGTTTGTTGTTTCCATGTGTATTTGTCCATTCTCATATTGCTATAAAGAAATACCTGAGACTGGGTCATTTATAGAGAAAACAGGTTTAACTGGCTCACAGTTCTGCAGGCTGTACAGGAAACATGATGATGGCATCTGCTGGGCATCTGGGGAGGCCTCAGGAAACTTACATTATGGCAGAAGACACGTCTTACATGGCCAGAGCAGCAGCATGAGAGAGCAAGTGGGAAGGGGCTACACACTTTCAGACGACCAGATCTCTCAAGAACTCACTAAATATCACAAGAACAGCACCAAGGGGATGGTACTAAACCATTCATGAGAAGCTGCCCTCATGATCCAGTCACCTCCCACCAGGCCCCACCTCCAACACTGAACATGAGAGTTGGGTGTGGACACAGATCCAGACTATATCAGCATAATATATATTTTTTCTATCCTTTTAATTTCAATCCATATGTATCTCTGAATACACAATATGTCTACTGCAGAAAGCACACAGATGGGTTTTTAAAAATACTTGTCATTCAGTCTGACAATGTATGCCTTATGATTGAATTGTTAAATCCATTCACATTTAATGATATTAATGATATATCTGGATTTACATTTGCCATTTTTCTCTATGTTTTCTATATGTCTCTTATTAGTTCCTTTATTCCCTTTTAATGTTTTCTTTTACATGAAGTGAATATTTTCTAGTGTAATATTTTAATTCCCTTTTTTAACCATATTTTTGGAGCTATATTCTTAATCGTTGCTCTAGGGTTTTACGATGAATATCTTATCAGAACTTAATTCCATGAAATATAGAAATGTTACTCCTAAATAGTTCTATTCTCTCTTCTCTCTTTTTGTGCCATTACTACACATACTACATATGCATGTGTATACTTATGCATAAGTATACACAATCACACACAGATATATATATGTATATGCACATATATGTATACAGACATATGCACACACTCAAAACCCAACAAAAGATTGCTATAATTATTACCTTATATAATTTATGTCTATTAAAGAAACCGAAAGGACAAGAATATATTTATATGGCTTATTATATTAACCATCTTATTTCCCATTTCTGGTTTTATTATTTTGTTCCTGTGGATTTGACATACCATCTGGTGTTATGTACTTACTGCAATTCAGCTTTGCTTCCACCCATCTTCTTTGTGCTTTCCCTGTCAAATATATTACATGTCTATATGTTGTAGGTTCAACCAATTATACATGTATTGTTTTTTAAATTAATTAGGAGAAAAAGGACAAGAAATATGCACTTATACTGTCTTCTATAATTGTACAATTAGCTTTACTGTTGGGAACAGGCCCCCCAAAATCTGGCCATAAACTGGCCCCAAAACTGGCCATAAACAAAATCTCTGCAGCACTGTGACATGCTCATGATGGCTGTAAGGCCCACGCCGGAAGGTTGTGGGTTTACGGGAATGAGGGCAAGGAACACCTGGCCCGCCCAGGGCGGAAAACCGCTTAAAGGCATTCTTAAACCACAAACAATAGCATGAGCGATCTGTGCCTTAAGGGCATGTTCCTGCTGCAGATAACTAGCCAGACCCACCCCTTTATTTTGGCCCATCCCTTCGTTTCCCATAAGGGATACTTTTAGTTCATCGAATATCTATAGAAACAATGCTAATGACTGGCTTGCTGTTAATAAATACATAGGTAAATCTCTGTTCAGGCTCTCAGCTCTGAAGGCTGTGAGACCCTTGATTTCCCACTTCACATCTCTATATTTCTGTGTGTCTTTAATTCCTCTAGCACCACTGGGTTAGGGTCTCCCTGACTGAGCTGGTCTTTGCACTTTACTAGTGCTCCTTGTTTTTGTGTGTATGCATTTGACTCACTATCTCTGGTCAACTGCTTTTAAAAATTTTCTGTAATTTTATTTTTTGCATGGTGAGTCTGCTGACAACAAACTTTTTTATTTGGACATGTCTTTATTTCATCTTCATTTTTTAAAAATAGTATTCCTTGGTTGACTGACAGTTTTTTTTTTTTTCTTTTT
Organism: Homo sapiens; assembly: GCF_000001405.40. NCBI lineage: Eukaryota > Metazoa > Chordata > Mammalia > Primates > Hominidae > Homo > Homo sapiens. The sequence continues at coordinate 66,792,481 of NC_000014.9, read as the reverse complement.
CTGTGCAGTGGTGTGATCACAGCTCACTGCAGTTTCTGCTTTCTGGGCTTAAGTGATCCTCCCACCTCAGCCTCTTGAGTAGCTAGAACTACAGTTGTGCACTAACATGCCTAGCTAATTTGTATTATTTTATTTATTTTTTGTAGAGATGGGGTCTCATTTTGTTGCCCAGGCTGGTCTTGAACTCCTGGTCTCAAGTGATCCTCCTGTCAGAGGTGTTTGAACCTGAGTGACTCCATCTTAAATAAGGGCTAGGTAAAACAAGGCTGAGACGTACAGGGCTGCATTCCCAGGAGTTACGACATTCTTACTGATAGAGTCTAGCTATGTCCCTACTCAAATCTCACCTTGAATTATAATAATTCCCATGTGTCATGGGCAGCGCCAGGTGGAGATAATTGAATCATGGGGGTAATTTCCCCCATACTGTTCTCATGGTAGTGAATAAATCTCATGAGACATGATGGTTTTATAAATGGGAGTTCCCCTGCACAAGCTCTCTTGCCTGTCACCATGTAAGATGTGACTTTTCCTTCTCCTTCCGCCATGATTGTAAGGCCTCCCCAGCCACGTGGAACTGTGAGTCAATTAAACCTCTTTCCTTTTCACATTACCCAGTCTCTCCTATGTCTTTATTAGGAGCATGAGAATGGACTAATACACTTACTCACAGGATGAGCTAGGGGGTCAGCACAAGATACAGGTCATGAAGACCTTGCTGATAAAACAGGCTGTGGTAAAGAAGCCAGCCAAAATCCACTAAAACCAAGATGGCAATGACAGTGACCTCTAGTTGGCTTTACTACTTGTTATAAACTAATTGTAATGCATTAGCATGCTAAAAGACACTCCCACCAATGCCATGACAGTTTACAAATGCCATGGCAATGTCAGAAATTACCCTATATGGTCTAAAAAAATGAGGAACTCTCAGTTCCAGGAATTGCCTCCCCTTTTCTTGGAAAACTCATGAATAATGTACCCCTTACTTAGCATATAATCAAGAAATAACCATAAAAGTGGCCAACCAGCAGCTCATGCTGCTGCTCTGCCCATTGGGTAGCCATTTTATTTATTTATTTATCTAATAAACTTGCTCTCTTTTTATGGATTTGTCTCTAATTCTTTCTTCTGTGAGGTTCAAGAACCCTCTCTTGGGGCTGGATCAGGACCCTGTTCAGGCAGCATCTCCCTGATAACCCCCAAAGGGACAATACTGAGGAAACCCCCAACCCAAAGGAAATAGACTGCAGCACTGATTGGCCGACTTTCAGTAAGTGGTGGGGTACCCAGGTAAAGGATGGGATTGGGTTTGAGTCCCAACTTGGGAAAGTTAGAGTCTCTCTTAAGACAGAGTGGGTTAAAAGCCCCTCTTGATAAAAGGCAAGGATGCTTGAATGAACTTGGGTTCAAGGCCCAACATAGGAAGGTTAGAGTTCTTCCTAAGATTGAGGGGGTTAGAGGCCCCTCTTGGTAAAGTCCATTTGGTTAAAAATGTATTTGGCATTAAAGAATTTTAATTACTATTCTCTTTGGATTAATCTGCCTTGCAATCTTTGCTGATGGCTGTTGGTGACAGAATTAGGCATGTACAAAATTATGGGACATGGAGAGCTTTTTTCTCCCCAAAGGGGGAAACTTCAGAGCTGATGGGTCTTGTGGAAAAGAAACCCTTCATTACTGACAAGTGGCTGCCTGAACTTTTCATTCAGTGTCACTGCAATGGGTGGGACTTTCTCTGGCTTCCCTGAGCTCCTGAGTTCCCTGACCCTCCCCGCCCTGCCACAGGCAGTGCAAACTCTTTCTCCCCTTTCCCTTTCCTATCTTTTCTGTTACACAGGGCAACCATCTTGCCCAGAGACCACATGCTGAAAAATGTCCTTGGGAGCTTGACCTTGTAATCATGTGGCAGTACCTTCTCTTGGTCTCTACCTTCCAGGAAATAGGAATTTTGGGATTCATGTCCTACTTAGCTCTAAAAATTATCTTGAGCATTTAAAAGCCATTTCAAACTCAAAATTTACTGCTCTAGGCTTTTTCTGGGAAGGGCAATAGAAATTGCCCAGTGCTGTAGCTTAGCAGTTAAAGCTTTGTCTTTTCCCAATAGTGGCCCTGGATTCAGGTTCAATTTTCAGCCTAGGTAATGAGTACTTCCTGGCTGATCTTTGGGTAACCTTTGCCATTTGTTGATTCACCTCTCCTCCATGAACTGTCTTAAACTTTCCTTTCACTGAGCCCCTGGGAGGTTACATTTAGTAAAGTTCAAAAGCCAGAAATATTGGCAGTTTGGCGTGACTAAAGCTGGGTAATAAGAGATTTTTAAAAAAACTTTTTTAAAAGAGTGCTATGGTTAAAAGCTTAATTAAAAGTAAATATTCAAGCTTTAACAGCCTAGGGAAAAACAGAGAAGGCACCACAGACCCCATTTTGGGAAAAACTTCTGTTTTCCTCATGAAACCCCAGGAATTGAAAGTAGACAGATCCCTCTCAAAATCTAAGGTTCTGTTTTGTCTTGAATTACGTTATCTTATGTTTTTTATTTTTTGGGATATCAGAAATTACTTCACATTATGAGAGAACTCTGGTGTGTAACAACTGGGTAGGAAATATACTTTTGGGGATAGCTAATGTCAGTTATGGAAAGATACTCAGCTCTCTGCACGTTTGGATTACAGAAGCATGCTCCTGGCCACCTGGAAGGTATGATGATGTCCCCACCCCTCACTAAGAGAGAAGATTCCCATGGGGATGGGCTGATTGGCTTCAGATTGCTTTGCAATGAAATGCACAGTAAAATCATCACACTGTTTTCTTACATAGCATTTCTCTTTTGGGGATCCAGGATTCAGTATAAAAATGAGACCCTTAATTCTGGGGACCTGTTTTTGCCTTCCAGCTGAGCCTGGTTATTAGGCCATAGAAACTGCATGCTTTCCTGGCCCTGTTCCTCCAAGGGATCAACCCTAAAGCCAGTAATTGAATTAAGAAACTGGCAAGTGAAAAACCTTTTAACTACTGGATCTTATGTCTGTGTATGTATTTGTATGTGTTGTGTGTATGATGTTTACATAGGAAAGAGCTCTAATTAAATGGCTTAAAAATAAAAATTGCTGAGTTAACATTGTAACACATAATTGAGACTACTGAAGAAACAGTTTTACATGCAAAGTGTAAGGAAAGTAAGATGTGCTTTTGGTAAAAGATTATAAGAAGGCATGGAAATGTGGAATTATTTGGCTAGATTAAATATTAAAGGATTGTTTTAAGTTAGGATAAAGATGAAGGTTTGAACAAATTGTGGAAGGTTTGTGAAAAATTAATTGTAAAAGAGATTCTGTGTGTGAACATACTGGATAGTTAAAGGGGTATTATTCAGTTTTTCCATAAATTGAACATTGGAATAAAAGCACAACAGGGTTGTCTCAGAACACTGATCTGCTCTTTAACAAAAATTGTAAAGGGTTATACAACGTTTAGAAAAATCTTACCTTCTGGTCAAACTGATTAAAACTGGATAGGTTTTATTAAGAAGTGGGTTTATTTGGGAGGCTGAGGTGGGTGGATCACCTGAGGTCAGGAGTTTGAGATCAGCCTACTGGCGAAACCCCATCTTTACTAAAACATGGTGAAACCCCATCTCTACTAAAACTACAAAAAATTAGCCAGGCCTGGTGGCGGGCGCCTGTAATTCCAGCTACTTGGGAGGCTGAGGTAGGAGAGTCACTTGAACCTGGGGGTTGGAGGTTGCAGTGAGCTGACGTTGTACCATTTCACTCCAGCCTGGGCAAAAGGGCAAAACTCCGTCTCAAAAAAACATAAACAAAAACAAACAAACAAACAAAAGGAGTGGGTTTAACATTAATAGCACATCAATGCAAAGATGAAATGTTTATTTGGTATACAAATCATACAGGATGCAATGTCAAATGTGAAATGATGTTAGCTTTCTTTTAGCTGCATTTGTATAAATATGTTACTGGTATGTGTTCCAAATAATGGGAAACTCCTACAATTCTGATATGATTTACAGTATGTTATCATTAATAATTATAAATATTACATAAAATCATCATATGTCATTGTGTGTTTTAGGGCAATCACAGTTAAAAACATGATTTGTCAATATTTTGTCATTCATAGATTAACTGTTGTCTTGTTTTGATCCTCTTTTTTGAGACGGAGTCTCGTTCTGTTGCCCAGACTGGAGTGCAGTGGTGCCATTTTGGCTCACTGCAACTTCCGCCACCTGGGTTCAAGCGATTCTCCCGCCTCAGCCTCCAGAGTAGCTGGGATTACAGGTGCCCGCCACCATGTCTGGGTAGTTTTTGTATTTTTAGTAGAGAAAAGGTTTCACCATGTTGGCCAGGTTGGTAATCCGCCTGCCTCGGCCTTCCAAAGTGCTGGGATTACAGGACTGTGCCACTGCACCCGGCCTGCAGTTTTTGTTTTCATTCTTTCACAGAACAAAATTTTTTTATGTTGATGAGCTCAAGTTTGTGAAATTTACATTGTATGAACCGTGCTTTTTGTGTTGAGTCTAAGGCCTCTTCATTCATCTAGCCCCAGGTCGTAAAGACTTTTGCTTTTTTTTTTCTTCTGACAGTTTTACAGTATATATATATAATACTTTTTATATTAAAGCCTACTATGTATTTTGAAATAATTTTGTAATAAAGCATGAGGCATAGACTGAGATTCTTTTTTTTTTTGCCTGTTGATTTCCAATTGCTCCAGCACCATTTGTTGAAGTCTATTCTCCATTGAACTGCTTTTGCATCTTTATTAAAAACCAATTGAATATATTTGTATAAGCCTATTATAGGTTCTCTATTCTGTTTCATTGATTTATGTTTTTATTTCTCTGCCAATACTATACTATCTTGAATACTGTAGATACAGAATGAAACTTTCATTGGGTAGAGTTATTCTTTCCACTTTGTTCTTTTTAAAAATTGTCTTAGCTGTTCTAGGTTTTGTGTTTTTCCATATAATTTTAGAATGAATTTATATAATTTTATAGCCACAAAACACTTGCCAGGGTATAGCATTAAATTTATGGTTCAATTAGGGGAGAACTGACATCATTACTATGCTGAATTTTTCAATATTTGAACACAGAATGTGTCTTTATTCAAGTGTCCTTTTATTTCTTTGTTTGGCAGTTTTTGCATAAAGATAACATATGTGTGCTTTTAAGTTTGTATCTAGATATTTTATTTTCTTTTGAACAATTGTAAATGGTGTTATTTAAATTTCAGTTTCCAAATGTTTGTTTATAGTATATAGAAATCCAATTGATTTTTTTCTTTTTGTGTTTATCTTATATGCCACAAAGCAGCTAAAATGACTTATTCTTATAGTCATTTTTTCCTATGCAGATAATCAAGTGGTCTGCAAACAGGGAGAGTTTTATTTCTTACTTTCTAATCTATGTGGTTTTAGCACATATTCTTGCGTTACTGTGCTACCTAGCATTTCTAGTACTATGTTGAATAAAAGTAGTCAGAGAAGATATTATTGCTTTGTTTCCAATTTTTGAAGGAAAACATTCTTTCACCATTAAGTATGCTGTTAGCTATAGGTTTTCTCTAGATGCTCTTAATCAAGTTAAGGTCCCATCTAGTCCTAGTTTGCTGAGAGTTCTTATTATGAATGGGTTTTGAATTTTGTCAGATGCTATTTTTGCATCAATCGATATGATCATTTGATTTTTCATCTTTAGCTCGTTGACATGGTAGATTAGATTTATTGTTTTTCTACTACTGAAGTAGTTTTCTGTATATTTCAAATAAATGTCAAATTGTCGTGGCACTTAATTCTTTTTATACATTGTTGCATGTAATTGATAATACTTTATTGAGGATTTTAGTTCGTAAGAGATACTGGTTTTCCATTTTCTTTCTTTGCACTGTCTTTCTCTGTTTTTGGTATCAACATTATACTAGACTCATGAAACGTATTTCCTCATCTTTTATTTTTTTGGAGGAGATTGACTAAAACTGATGATAATTCTTTTTTAAATATTTGGTAGAATTCTCCAGTGAAACCAAAAAGAAAGTCCTGAGGCTTTCTTTTTCAGGAACTTTTTCATTATGAATTTAAGTTACTTAATGGCTTTTATACCATGTAGATTGTCTATTTCATCTTGGTTAGTTTTAGAAGTTCGTGATTTTCAAGGAATTGGTCCATTTCTACTAAATTGTACAATTTATGAGTATGAAGTTTTTAATAGTATTACCTAATTATCCTTTTAAAGAATAGAAGATCTGTAGTAATACTCCTTGTTTTATTCATGACATTGGTGATTGTGCCCTTTCTCCTTTATCTTTGCAATGTAGCAAGAGGCTTACCAATTTCTTTGAGCTTTATAAAGAAGCAGATTTTATTTTACTGACTATTGTTTTCCTGTTTTCAATTTTATTTATTTCAATACTTAATTCATTGTTTTCTTTCTTTTGATTGCTCTGAATATATTTTGCTCTTCTTCTAGTTTCTGGAGGAAAAAACTTAGATTACTGATTTGAGAACTTTCCTCTTCTCTTAATGTCTGCTTTGCATATAATTTTTCCTCTCAGCCCTGCTTTCACTGCTTTACAGATTTTTTGATGTGTTATATTTTCATTTTTCGTTTGTGTAAATTTTTAAAATTTCATTTGAGACATCTTATTTGATTATTTACTAGAGTATCTTTTAATTTCCTCTGGCATGTATTAGAGCTTTTCCTGATATTTTTCTGTTTTTTTTTTTTGTTTGTTTTTTGGTTTTTTTTTGGTTTGGTTCCATTATGGTCAGAGGACATACTATGCATAATTTCAATTTTTAAGTACTGTTTTGGTTTGTTTTATGATTCAGGATATGGTTTTCCAAGGTAAATGTTTCATGTGTGCTTGAAAAAAAATGTGTGTTGTTTAATTTTTGGTGGAGCATTCTGTATATTTCAATTTTTGGTACACATACTTTTAAGATTGCTGTTTTCCTGGTGGATTGAGCCTTTCACATTATGGGATGTCCTCTCTGTCTCCAGAATTTTTCTTGTTCTGAAGTCTACTTGGTCTGATATTAATACAGCCACTAATGCTTTTTAAATTTTATTTATTTATTAATTTATTTATTTTTGAAATGGAGTCTCACTCTGTCACCCAGGCTGGAGTGCAGTGGTGTGATCTTGGCTCACTGCAACCTCCACCTCCCCGGTTCAAGAGATTCTCCTGCCTCAGCCTCCTGAGTCGTGGGGACTACAGGCATGTGCCACCATGCCTGGATATTCCTGTACTTTTAGTAGAGACAGGTTTCACCATGTTGGCCAGGCTGGTCTAGAACTCCCGACCTCAGGTGATCCACCCGCTTCGACCTCCCCAAAGGCTGGGATTACAGGCGTAAGCCACTGTGCCCAGCCCACTCCTGCTTTTTTTTTTAAAATTTGTGTTCACACATAAATCTTTCGCCATCCTTCTGTATCCTATTGCTTACTACCTACTTATGTCATCATTTTTGAAATTAGTTTCTTTAGAATGGCATTTATTGGATCATTTTTTAAAAATCCATTCTGTCAAAATCTGTCTTTTAATTGGCATATTTAGATTATTTATATTTAAGGTAAGTATTAAGACCATAGGCCTTAAGTCTGCCATTTTATTATCTATTTTCTGTTTTTGTCCTGTTTCTTTTTCCTGTTTTTATATGCTTGCTTATTGTGAATCACTTAAACACTTTTTAGAATTCTACCTTTATTCATAGCGTTTTGAGTATATTGCTTTGTATACTTTTCTTAGTGGCTGTTCTCAGTATTACAATATACAGATATAACTTACCACACTCTACCAGTATTGACATTTTATCATTCCAAGTGAAATACAGAAATCTTACCTCCATTTAGGCAACTTTACCCTTCCACATTTTAAATATGATTGTGTTAAGTATGTACATATATAGAATACCATATTATACAGTATAACTGTGATTTTAAAAATTATAAGAAAATACAATCTATTGTATTGACCCATTCTGCTGTTTTCTCCTTTCTGAAATTTCAGGCCTTTTTCTATTACTTCCTTTCCCTTTAAAGAATTTATTTAGCCACTCTTTCAGAGTGGTTTTCTAGTGACACATTCTTTTAGTTTTCGCGTTTGAGTATGTCCTTATTCATTCTTGAAGAATAACTTCACTGAATATGGCATTTGTAGTTGACAGTTCTTTTTTCCAGCACTTGAAAAATGTTGTGCCACTTCCGTCTGTTGCCCCCTGTGAGTTTTCTATATTGGTGATGGTATTTCTCAGTTCTATAATTTTCATTTGGTTCCTTTTATAATTTTTATTTGGCAAGATTTTCCATTTTTTCATTTTTAAAGAGAATTCATAGTTGCTTATTGAAGCACTTTTATAATAGGTGCTTTAAAATCTTTGTCAGATAATTTCAACACCTGAATCTTCTTTGTGTTGGTGTCTGTAGACTGTTTTTTTCTCACTCATGCTGTGATTTTCCTTGTTCTTGGTATGATGACTGATATTTTTATTGTCACCTAGGACATTTGGTATTTTATATTTGAGACTATTTAATCTTTTTTAGCAGATGTCCCCCATGTCGCAATGTAACACAAGGGCCTTATGGACATGTATGTTCAGCTTCTGCAAGGTCTCACTGACACCACTCTGGCAAAAGTGAAGCACTGATTCACACTGCTTAATTTAAGACTGTAAGGTAGAAGTTCAGCTCCCTTCTTGGCTCTGCTGAGACCTTTCTGGTGAAAGTTGACATTACCTTGCTCCACTGTTGATACCAAGTAGGGGCGCATGCTAATACCAAGGGTTGGGGAGAGTAGATGGTTGACTCATATTGTGAGCAGAAGTACGAATAGCCTCACCTGGCTTAGCCTTGTTGATACAGCTGGGGGTAGAGGTTCACCTCTCTGCCAGGCCTCACTTACGTGGGAAAGGAAAGGTGAAATAGTGGTAACTAGCTCTACTTTGTGCTGCCTTGTTAAGTCTCACTGATACTGAATGGGGATGGAGGCTCAGCTCATCACTGGACTCCACTGACACTACCCTGCTGGGAAAACTGGAGCACAGCTTGTTTCCACTGGGCTGGTGATAGATCAACTTCTGCTTGGTTTCAACTTTAATATCATAGCCAGGAAATCAGAGTGACATCTGCTCTGCCAGGTGAAAGATGGAAGAATAGCTCCCTACTCAGCCCTGCTGCCACCACCAGGTGAGGGATTCAGAACTATGCCACTTACTTCTGTGGGATGGCAGGGGGTGATGTGGAATATCAGCTGCCTGCTTGACTCAACTGAAACTATAAGGGAACTGAACAGTTTTTCCATTGGTGCTTAGCTGTAGTAGGGCAAATATTGCTGAAAAGCCATTCTTGCCTCTTAGGTGACCCTTGTCCTTGTCTGTTGGCTAGACAAACAGGCTTTTGTAGGGGTATTTTTTGTTTACGCCACCTGTTGGTGGTTCCAGGTTGAAGGCTTTCTTCAGTATCCTGTCCAGAATATACAGGAGATAATAAGGAAACCCAAGTAACTCACTGCCATGTCATTTCTCAATTCCTGAGGTTCCCAGGTAGCCAGGTAGTCTGCCTTCTTCTTTCCATCTTTCAGAATCTTTCTTTCTTTCTTTTGGTTTTTTTGTTTGTTTGTTTGTTTTTGAGATGGAGTCTCGCTCTGTCATCCAGGGTGGAGTGCAGTGGCACCATCTCAGCTCACTGCATCCTCCACCTCCCGGGTTCAAGCGATTCTTCTCTTGCCTCAGCCTCTCAGGTAGCTGGGACTACAGATGCATGCCACCATGCATGGCTAATTATTATTATTATTTTTGTATTTTTAGTAGAGACAGGGTTCCACCGTATTAGCCAGGATGGTCTCAATCTCCTGACCTCGTGATCCGCCCGCCTTGGCCTCCCAAAGTGCTGGGATTACAAGCATGAGCCACCGCACCTGGCCCAGAATCTTTCTATGTTTATTTTATAATGCCTAGGCATTTTTAGTAGTAATAGGAAGGATCTGGAAGGAATAAAGCTACTCCATCTTGGCTGGAAGTCTCCTCAGCAGGAATACTTTTGAAACATGACAGAGATATTATAATGTTATCTGGAGCAATCAATACATGAGCCAATAAAATAAAAAAGAAAAACAACACAGGACCTTTCCTACTATGCTAAAAAAGCACTATAATCAAAACCATACAGTGCTGAGAAAAGAATAAATAGATTAATGGAACAGAAGTTCAGGAAAAGACAGACTTAAGTATGCATATGTCCTAAATTGGAAAATTTAGTATGAGATACATGAGGCAAAATTCAAACCAGTGGGGCAAAAATGGACTTTTTCATTAAGAATTATCCCTCAGGATTTTTCCCATGGGCTGGAAAAACAAAGACACATTTTAAAAATATTGTATCAATTTAGTCACCTCACATATAAATAAAATCTATAGTAATATACATTGCAGACAAAGAATATTTAAATATATCTATTTAAAATAAATGCATTCAAGATGGTAGTGTAAACTGGCATAACTACTTTAGAAAAGTGAGATTTCAGTCAGGAAAGTTGAAAATACATGTTTCTTAATACCCAGGAATTCCACTCTTCAGTATACACTTCAGAGAAACTTATACATGAGTACCAGGATGCTCTTATAATAATGTTTATAGCATCACTTTTCATAATCGTCCCAAATGGAAACAAGCTAAATATTCAACAGTAGGATGTCTCAGTGATCTGTGGTACAGTGGTGTATTTTACAATTAAACAAAGACCTTAGTTACAGTCAATAACATGAATGAATCCTACAAAAACGGTTGATAAAAAAGCAAGACACAAAAAAACTGCATACAATATGATTTAATTCATATGAAGTTCAAAGAGAGCAAACATGAATTGTAATGTTTAGGGATGTGTATATAGTTGGTAAAACGGAACAAAAGCAAGGAATTGATAATGATAAAAATCATAATAGTAGGCTGGGCGCGGTGGCTCACGTCTGTAATCCCAGCACTTTGGGAGGCCGAGGCAGGTGGATCACTTCAGGTCAGGAGGTTCGAGACCAGCCTGGCCCACATAGCAAAACCCTGTCTCTACTAAAAATACAAAAATTAGCTGGGTGTGGTGGCGCATGCCTGTAGTCCCAGCTACTCAGGAAGCTGAGGCAGGAGAATTGCTTGAACCGGGGAGGTAGAGGTTGCAGTGTGCTGAGATCGTGCCACTGCACTCAAGCCCGGGCGACAGAGACTCCGTATCAAAAAAAAAAAAAAAGAAAGAAGTCAGAATAGTGGTTACATCTAGGGTGAAAAAGGGACTTCTGATTGGGCCAGGAATTTATTCACTCTTTATGTGGCTAAGGGCTAAGAATCCATTCAGTTTTGAAGTGATTTATTACAATCAATAAATATACGTGTAATTGAAAAAATTTATGAACTTGATAATTTCTGGTGCTAGAAAACTGTGAAAGATTCCCACATCTGCCAAAATGTGATTTATGTTTAATCAGTCATATTATTTTAATAACAAAAATACATATGCATATTTATTTATACATGGTATATACTATAGGTAGCATATCAAATTCAAACTCAATTGTTCTGTTTAGACAATTTAAGATTACTCAGATATTACCCAACTGAAATGAACATTACATCCGTATGCTTCACATTTCTTTCAGCTAAAACAAAAACGATTGTAACTGATTTCAGCTGAAAATGCTAATGTGCCATCAAATATTGGTGAAATGTTTTAGAACAGTTTTTCTTTGAGTACTTTGAAAGCAAGATGAATTCCTCATTTTTTTAATGCCTCAGGCCTCAAACTCTCAAGTTATTTTAGATATAATACCAGTAATCGACGGAAAAATTATGTTACATATCATCCATGAATCCTGCTTTTTTTAAAAGGAATCTCCTGAGGGATAACTCTTGTAACTCTAAAATAAAAAAAGCACACACAATGAAAAAAAAAAAGCTGATTCCTTTAGGAAAAAAATCACTATTTAAAAACAGGCAAAAGTCCTGCTATTAATTAAACTAATTAAATAATATATTAATACTCTGCCTTTAGGGTAAGTCTTCCTTAAGGTTACATCTTCAGCCCAATTTTAATACCTCATATAACTTTTCCGTGAGATTCCATTCACTGACTAGCATGGCCTCAATTAACTCTTTTGTATGAGGACAAACCTTAATATCAATTACTAGATTGTGTCTCTCTTCTGAGTTCCAGGCTGATTTATTCAATGACTTATTGGATATTTGGTAATCTGAGAGGGACCTCAAACTCAGTAAGTCCAAAACATCCTCTTTCCTATTAATAATATTCTGTCTCCAAAACATCCTTTTTAAGTTAACAGCAACACCATCTACTCAATTTCCCAAGCCAGAAATCTGAGTCAATCTTTCCAATTTCCCCTAAACATCCAATAAGTTATCAAGTATTGCTGATTTTACTTTCTGAAATAATATTTTTCAAATCTTGTTTTCTTCTCTAGCCTCATTGTCACTGCTTGAGTTCAGGTTCTAATCATTTTGTGCCTACATTCCTGCAACCTGGTCTCCTTCCATCTAGGTAGAACCTCTTCTCTGCTGAAATCACTTTTCTCATTCACCACAGTAAGGCTTTAAAAAAGTATCAAAATGATTATGTTACTTTCTTCCTTAAAAATCACATAAAGGAATCCCATAATTTTCAGGATAAAAACCAAACTTCTTAACATGGGATAAAGGCCTGCTTCCAGCCCTTTATCTTACCAGTCTTTATTTTATACCCTATAATCTGGTATCCTATTATTTCATGTCTATGCTTCTGTATAAAACTCCAATTTCCTGGGGGTTACCTCTTGGAAAGACTTTGCTGATTTACTTTTTCCAATGTCCAGGTGTCCCTTCTATGTATTTCCATAAAACTCTTGGTTTATCTTCATCAGTTAACACACATTTTAATTGTATTATCAGACAGGGTGCCTTTATAATACATAATTTCAATTCAATATTCTTTACATAAATGTTGCTTATTTATATATATTTATTAATTGCTTAAAGTTTCTAGAGTTCAATTTTTGAGTCATTATAAAATATATTTCAAGAAGTAATATCCTCATGCTTTTCCAACCCTTTAACAACATTTGATGATATTTTTAGAAGTCATTATTGAATGTCAAATAAAATATTTATTCAATTTCCTCATATGAAAAATGAGAGATCTGGATTAGACCTAAAGTTCCTCCTAGCTAAAATATTTTACAAGTTCACACAAAGTTGGAATAAATTTCTTGAAATTTTTTTTGAAGCTAGAATTACCACATTAATTTCTGATGTTGACCATACATTAGAACACTTGACATACTGAAGCTAATAGTGTATCATATAATAGATCAATGGGCTTACTTGATTTAAAAATAATGCAAACAAATTACAAGATTTTTTTCTTTTCAAAAATGTCCCTTGAGGCTGGGCGCAGTGGCTCATGCCTTAATCCCAGCACTTTGGGAGGCCGAGGCAGATGGATCACCTGAGGTCAGGGGTTCAAGACCAGCCTGGCCAACTTGAAGAAAATTTATCTCTACTAAAATAAAATTAAAAAAAAAATTAGCTGGGTGTGGTGTCATGTGCCTATAATCCAAGCTACTCGGGAGGCTGAGGCAGGAAAATCACTTGAACCCAGGAGGTTGGAGGCTGCAGTGAGCTGAGATCATGCCACTGCACTGCAGCCTGGGTGACAGAGCGAGACTGTCTCAAAAAAAAAAAAAAAAAAAAAAAAAAAAGCCCCTTGAGTCTTGAGTCATAGAATTAAATAATTATTTTGAATTGAATTTGAATTTATTGAAAGATTTGAATTTAGTGAACTTGATATTGAAAAGTTTAATCAAATCAAGCTTAGTGATTTGTTGAGATCTTTACATGTCATTGTTAACAATTTAACCAGTATTGTTTATTCTTCATTATTAATATCCAATTATTCAATCTTGCTTTTGAAAAAGAACAACATATTATGTTAGAAAATTAATATTCCATAAGACTTAGTAAAATGTTAGAGACAGAATAATGTCATAATGCTCTAATTTTTAAAGAGTAAGTCAATTTTTCATTACTGTAATGTAAATTTTTAATTGCAATTGGCATATCGTGTTTTCAAAGGAACCCAGAAAAATATGTACTAAAAGACTGTTACTATTTCACTGAGCAGTGGTTTGTAGTTCTCCTTGAAGAGGTCCTTCATGTCCCTTGTAAGTTGGATTCCTAGGTATTTTATTCTCCTTGAAGCAATTGTGAATGGGAGTTCACTCATGATTTGGCTCTCTGTTTGTCTGTTATTGGTGTATAAGAATGCTTGTGATTTTTGTACATTGATTTTGTATCCTGAGACTTTGCTGAAGTTGCTTATCAGCTTAAGGAGATTTTGGGCTGAGACGATGGGGTTTTCTAGATATACAATCATGTCGTCTGCAAACAGGGACAATGTGACTTCCTCTTTTCCTAAATGAATACCCTTTATTTCCTTCTCCTGCCTGATTGCCCTGGCCAGAACTTCCAACACTATGTTGAATAGGAGTGGTGAGAGAGGGCATCCCTGTCTTGTGCCAGTTTTCAAAGGGAATGCTTCCAGTTTTTGTCCATTCAGTATGATATTGGCTGTTGGTTTGTCATAGATAGCTCTTATTATTTTGAGATACGTCCCATCAATACCTAATTTATTGAGAGTTTTTAGCATGAAGGGTTGTTGAATTTTGTCAAAGGCCTTTTCTTCATGTATTGAGATAATCATGTGGTTTTTGTCTTTGGCTCTGTTTATATGCTGGATTACATTTATTGATTTGCGTAAATTGAACCAGCCTTGCATCCCAGGGATGAAGCCCACTTGATCGTGGTGGATAAGCTTTTTGATGTGCTGCTGGATTCGGTTTGCCAGTATTTTATTGAGGATTTTTGCATCAATGTTCATCAAGGATATTGGTCTAAAATTCTCTTTTTTGGTTGTGTCTCTGCCCGGCTTTGGTATCAGGATGATGCTGGCCTCATAAAATGAGTTAGGGAGGATTCCCTCTCTTTCTATTGATTGGGATAGTTTCAGAAGGAATGGTACCAGTTCCTCCTTGTACCTCAGGTAGAATTCAGCTGTGAATCCATCTGGTCCTGGACTCTTTTTGGTTGGTAGGCTACTGATTATTGCCAGAATTTCAGCTCCTGTTATTGGTCTATTCAGAGATTCAACTTCTTCCTGGTTTAGTCTTGGGAGAGTGTATTTGTCGAGGAATTTATCCATTTCTTCTAGATTTTCTAGTTTATTTGCGTAGAGGTGTTTGTAGTATTCTCTGATGGTAGTTTGTATTTCTGCGGGATCGGTGGTGATATCCCCTTTATCATTTTTTATTGCGTCTATTTGATTCTTCTCTCTTTTTTTTTTTTTATTAGTCTTGCTAGCGGTCTATCAATTTTGTTGATCCTTTCAAAAAACCAGCTCGGGATAGCATTGGGAGATATACCTAAGCTAGATGACGAGTTAGTGGGTGCAATGCACCAGCATGTCACATGTATACATATGTAACTAACCTGCACATTGTGCACATGTACCCTAAAACTTAAAGTATAATAATAATTTAAAAAAAAGACTGATATTTAAAAGTGGTGAAGGCTTATAGGGAAAAGAAATTGCAACAAGATAAAAAGATAATCCACTATGCACACCAATGCTTATACACAGTGTTTTCTTATGTAGATTTTTAATGAACTACACAGGAAAGGGTTCCTTTTCGATTCTCCTAATATTGTAGTCAGAAATTCATTGCAAATGGCAGATAAATCTGATGGTGATTATCTGATACATATAAATTTTTAATTCACTATGATAACTGAGAATTAAATAATATTCTAACATAGCCAAATATCAATGGCATAAAGAAAAAGCAACTCTTCCCCACCCCTCACCAAGATGCTAAATGTTTGTAGAGGTGAAAAATGCCATACTATACCTTGATTTCTTCTATTTCATCTGGTACTATCTTGTATGCTGATATAGTCCCACCCAACCTGAAATTAGGAGAAGAAAATATTCTCAAAACCAGCAATAGTGTTTAAAATGTATGAAAGATTTCTGCCATTACCATCAGAATGCTACCAATAACTCCCAGTATTCACCCCAACAACCATGGAGGAAAAACAACCATTTTGTGCATATATTTTCCATGTATTAGTTTAAAAGAGGTAGATAATGAATGACTATTGACAGAGAAAATATTGTTAGATTTTTTACCCATAACTAAGCTCCTCTTATTGATGATTTTAATAATGCTGAAACTGTCACTTTTACTGCCGTATTCTGTCACAGCTAACATGCATCAGGAACTGACAGCAAACATGTTTGACTTTTTTAAGAAAGAAATCATAGCTTTTTACTTTTTATAGTAGCTTTAGGTTTACAGAAAAATAGAGCAGAAATTAGAGCATTCACATATTTCTGCCCTTCCTTCCCCATGACCTTGTTTCCCTTGTTATTAACATCTTGCATTAGTGTGACACATGTGCTACAACTGGTGAACGAACATTGATTCTGCTTCTTTTTTTACGTAATTTGAATAGGGAGTCAGAGAGACGTGTGTGCCCAGCACTGTCCAAGGGGAAGAGATGAGAATTCGGGAGTTACAGATAATTTAATCCTTAAAATGTTCTTTGCCTTGAGACAGTGATGCCATTATACGTCATATTCAACTGTTTGAAATATTTTTTAGAAAGCAACTAAGCTTTATATAAGATCATGTGCCAACTGTGTATCATATATTATCTAATTTAATCCTTGCAATTATCTCTATTATAAAAATGGGAAAATTGAGACAGAAACATTCAGTAATTTTTCTTAAGCAACTGAAGGAACTAGGAAATGAATGAGTTGAGATGTACAAAAGTGTAAAATACACACCAGATTTTGAATACTTAGTATGAAAAACAGAATAATTTTAATATATTGACTACATGTTAAAATAACATTTTGATATATTGGGTTAAATATATTATTAAAGTTAATTTCATCTGTTTTTACTTTTTAAAATGTGGCTACTTAGAAACTTTAAAATTACATACAGGGTTGTGGCCCCCAGCACATCTCTATCAGGTACTCTAGGCTATTAAACTCCAAATTACCTAACTGCCTTTGTTCTAATTCAGCGCTTACCAAGGAACCTTCTGATTACTTATCTGCACTTATAAGTATACCTCAGTAACAAAAAAAGGAGTATCATACGTAAGAGACTTATGTATTCTGGACCCTTTAGGATATCTCCTCTCCCAAATGTAAAATAATAAATACCATTCTGGTTTCCATTAAAAAAAAAGATACCCAACCAAATGATCCAAAAACTATGCTTATTACTTGGGTGACAAAATAATCTGTACACCAAACCCTCGGGACATGCAATTTACCCATGTAACAAACCTGCAAATGTACACCCTGAACTAAAATAAAAGTTGGAAAGAAAAAAAAAAGAACGTATAGGTTTTAATCTCACAATTTCAGTGGCATTCAGAGAAAAGGCATGTTTTAAAGCAAAGGTGTAGTATCTGAGCAGACCTGGAGTTACAATTTTACACAAGACAACAATGTTTGAAATTTTCCTACAGTATTTTAAATAAAGTATACTTTTATATCATTTCCAAATGTAGCTATATTTTTAAAATGTTTTAACAGAGAAAAAATAGTTGAAAAGTGGATACATGTTAATGGTACAAAGGAGGGACCTTTGATTTGCTCTATTTGAACAATAATATAATTATGGAAATCATATATAAAATCAGATAGAAATAAAAGTTGGGTTAGAGAAAAATTATGTTCAATTACTTTGAAAGTTCCCAACTGAGAATCACACACTGACTGAACAGGTCATTAAACAATATAAGTGGAATACAAGACTTTTTGAGAGAAAAAATATACATAGGTTTAAAAATGCTAAATTATATTATAAAAATGTCCAACCTCAGGAAGAAATGCGTTGAGAAGCACGACAAGTTTAATAAGTAAGGTAAAATATATGCATTATTGCTAACCATGTCTTACTAATGCTTTGGGATAAAAGTAAATTTTTTTTTCTAATTGCATTCAAATTATTTTCTTATTTGTGGTACAGCACTTTGAGGAAATAACAATGACAAGATTACAGAAATTAGTCTGAATGATATCTACATTAAAACCTTGTAGATATGGCCGGGCGCGGTGGCTCATGCCTGTAATCCCAGCACTTTGGGAGCCCGAGGCGGGCGGATCACGAGGTCAGGAGATCGAGACCATCCTGGCTAACATGGTGAAACCCTATCTCTACTAAAAATACAAAAAAGTAGCCGGGTGTGGTGGTGGGCGCCTGCAGTCCCAGCTACTCGGGAGGCTGAGGCAGGAGAATGGCATGAACCCGGGAGGCGGAGTTGCAGTGAGCCGAGATTGAGCCACTGCACTCCAACCTGGGCGACAGGGCGAGACTCCATCTCAAAAAAAAAAAAAAAAAAAAAAAAAAAACTTTCTAGATATGATGCTCAATTACCTTATGTCAGCAGTCAAGATGACAAAATATAAAGATTATCTAGGGCCCAATGATAGTAAAATACTCTATGTTTGACAATATTTAGAACTGACTTCAGGGCTAGGTTCACTGGCTCACGCCAATAATCCCAGCACTTCTGGAATCCAAGGTGAGAGGATTTCTTGAGGCCAGGAGTTTGAGACCAGCCTATGCAACACAGTGAGAGTCCACTTCTTTAAAACAAACAAAAAAAAGAACTCTTACATCAGTGATGTGTAAGTTCTAAAGCAAAAGAGAGTCACGACCTAGGAAAGATATTATTAAAGATTTCCCCAAATCATCTGGTGCGGTGGCTCATGCCTGTAATCCCAGCACTTTGGGAGGCCGAGATGGGAGGATCACGAGGTCAGGAGTTCAAGACCAGCCTGACCAACATGGTGAAACCCCGTCTCTACTAAAAATACAAAAATTAGCTGGGCGTGGTGGCGAGCACCCGTAATCCCAGCTACTCAGGAGGCTGAGGCAGAAGAATAGCTTGAACCCGGGAGACAGAGGTTGCAGTGAGCTGAGATTGCGCCATTGAAACCCAGCCTGAGCAATAGAGCGAGGCTCCGTCTCAAAAAAAAAAAAAAAAAAAGATTTCCCCAAATCAAAAATTCCTAAGATTTGTTAGAAAGCAAGTCTATTATTGGCAGTGATTTATTTTCTTGTGTCTAATATTTCTGGTACTCAACTATCCCCATGTTATCAGCCTTCAGCCTGTGAAAAGCACGCAAAAGAACTTATTACCTGCCATCTTTTTCCTGACATACACTTCATGGGACAAGTCTGCCCGATTGCACTTCCCAAAGTAGGAGTAGCTCTGCTCTTTACATGCCACTCAGTCTGCACAGCGGCAGTCTTCTCTGGGGAGACCAGAAAACCTAGGCTACTGAGCCAAATGGTAGAGGAAGGAAATGGTCTGGATTAAACAGCAATGAAGGAAGTAAAGGAAGAAGGGGGAAAAAAAAGTCCTGTGATTTCAAGGGCAAGGCATTAATTTTTCTAAAGTGCTCATATATTAAATCATATCTAGGATAAACTTCAACATTGGGGCAAACGGTATCTGTATAATTGTACACATACCAAGGGGACGGTTTTAAAGACCAAATTTATTTGAAAGTATACGTTATTGCTTTTTGTTTAAAAATTTATTTTCATTTTCACACTATATCTGATTCTTCTAAAAATTCTTTGATTTTTAAAAACATATATCAGAAATAACAGGGCTGAGGTGATAAATTTCATTATTTTAAAGAAGAATATGAAATTGGTCATTAGGATGGGGAATACTCTATTCAGGAAGAAATAGTGCTAAACGTGTACCTGTGAATTTGGCCATTATTCATTATTCGAATACATCTTTGAAATAATCTGACAAGAAGAAATGATGTTTCCAATCTCTCTGACTTCCTCTTTTGCCCTTCTCTCTGCTTTTAAGGCTCATGTGATTATATTGGGCTCAACCAAATAATGCGGGATAACCTCCCTATTTTAAGGTCATCTGCAATGTCACTTTTGCTATATAACCTAACTTATTCACAGGAGTAACAAAAGCAGGTGAAAGTCATGAGTCCAAAATTCTGCCTACCACGAGGTCAAAGATTAAAAGCAGGGCCTGCTATCTAAGTAATCAGATGGGACTGTGGCCCACCTATGGTTAACTGTGGCTTCTCCCAGAATGGTAGCAGTGGAGATGGAGAAAGTAAATAATTTCAAGATATATTCTAGAGGTTAGAATTAACAGGAATTAATGATGGATTACATACACATTGAGAATTTGGACAAAAGAGGAGTCAAGGGTCAACACAGGGTTATCTGTCTTTTTTTTTTTTTTCCTAAAGGACAAAGGTTTATTTTTTTGTTTCACAAAAGTGGAATTTTCAAAAGATAACGTTTACAATAGTTTACAAAATATCAAATAGTCAATTCTCAGTAGTTGTAATAGTTATTTCTATAAAATTGCCACACACTCTGAAAGAGCTAATACTGAACCACTGCTCCTAGGAGAAATAAAAGTTTAGATTGCTGCAAGCCTGTGGTCACAACATTTTCATCAATAGATAGATATATAAACTTGAGTTATGTGTGTTTCTGTTTGAAGACACCCAATCAAAAAACCAAACACCGCATATTCTCACTCATAGGTGCGAATTGAACAATGAGATCACATGGACACAGGAAGGGGAACATCACACTCTGGGGACTGTTGTGGGGTGGGGGGAGGGGGGAGGGATAGCATTGGGAGATATACCTAATGCTAGATGACGAGTTAGTGGGTGCAGCACACGAGCATGGCACATGTATACATATGTAACTAACCTGCACAATGTGCACATGTACCCTAAAACTTAATATATGATAAAAAAAAATTGCAATTTTGCAATGCCACCTTGGCCGTAAGTCCAGCATCCACATATGCCTTGATCTCTTTCTGGCTATATTCTATTCTACTGGGCAATTTACCTGCCCTTGTGCCAGTGCGGTAACTGGTCGAGCGAGTTCTCGCAGGTTAACTTCTTCAAGAATGTCTTGTTAATTCAGGGTTATCTGTTATCTCTGGGTGGCTACTATTCACCCAAGAAAAGACAATATGACGAGAAGGACATGAAAATTAAAGGTATATTTAATAGAGTATTCGATTGATTACATAATGTAAGCTAGGTAAGGAGGGAAATGAAAGAGGTAAGGAGCCAATCAAAAAGAATTGGAGGTCCACGGTGATCAAAGATTTATCACAGTTCAATTACTAGAGGGAGTTAAATAGAAAGAAGTGACAACTGAAGAGAGTGATAACTGAAATGAAAGTTATAGAGGAGTGATAGTTATTAGTAATGAAAGGAGCTAGGGTGTGACCATTGGAGCCAGTGGCTTAGGAAGGATGAAGGACATCATTGGGTGAAAGATGGTGAAAGAACTGAGAGGCCTGAGAATCCTTTTATTCATCCCATTTGAATCTTTCCAGCAGTCCTTTCTTATCTATACGGGATATGTTCCAAGATCTATACTGGATGCCTGAAACTGAAAATGTACTAAACTCTCTACATACTGTTTTTTCCTACACACACACACCTATGATAAACTTTACTTAATTATTAACAGTAATAGATTAAGAACAATAATAAAATAAAACAATGATAACAATATACTATAAGTTATTATTTTTATAATAACTTTCTCTCAATATTAATATTTTTGGATGGCACTTGACTGCACATAACTGAAACGACAGAAAGTGAAACTGTGGATGGGGGGACTACTACGGTATTAATATTTTTGGAATATCAGTGTTTCATGGAACATAGTGTGGCAAATGCAGAATCAATAAACATGCACATTTTAGTTACTACTAAAGGTAAAAAGCTGTGATATGTGTATATAACATATTGCACAATAGAAGGGTTGAAATAGATTCTTGTTACAATTTTCTACAGTAACTTTCATGGTTTATAGGTTTCATTAATATTAAAGGTACCATTATAGTAAAATCCAAAACTATAGAAACTCTGGTCCAGACAACCTAGGCAATACCATTCTGGATGCAGGAATGAGCAGAGTTAGTGACAAAGATGCCAAAAGGAATTGCAACAAAAGCAAAAATTGACAAATGGGATCTAATTAAACTAAAAAACTTCTGCAGAGCAAAATAAACTATCAACAGATTAAACAGGCAACCTACAGAATAGGAGAAAATTTTTGCAAGCTATGCATCTGACAAAGGTCTAATAGCCAGCATCTATAAGGAACTTCAACAAATGTACAAGAAGAAAATGAACAACTCTATTAAAAAGTGGGCAAAGGATATAAATAGATGCTTTTCAAAAGAAGACATACATACAGCCAACAATCATGAGAAAAAGCTCAACATCACTGATCATTAGAGAGATGCAAATCAAAACCATAATGAGATACCATCTCACACCAATTAGAATGGCTATTATTAAAAAGTCCAAAAATAACAGATGCTGGTGAGGTTGCAGAGAAAAAGGAACATGTATACACTGTTGGTGGGAGTATAAATTAATTCAAGCATTGCGGAAAGCACCGTGGCAATTCCTCAAAGAGCTGAAACAGAACTCTCATTTGATCCAGCAATCCCACTACTGGGTATATACCCAAAGAAATATAAATCGTTATATCATAAAGACACATGCAACGTATATGTTCATCACAACACTATCCACAATAGCAAAGACACAGAATCAACCTAAATGCCCATCAATGGTAGACTGAATAAAGAAAATGTACATATACATATACACCATGAAATACTATGCAGCCACAAAAAAGAACAAGATAATGTCCTTTGCAGGGACTTGGATGGAGCTGGAGGCCATTATCTTAAGTGAACTAATGCAAGAACAGAAAGCCAAATACCACATGTTCTAATTTATAAGCAGGAGCTAAATGATGAGAACACATGAACACATAGAAGGGAACAACACACACCGGGGTCTATTGGAGGGTGGAAGACGGGAGGAGGGAGAGGATCAAGAAAAATAATTAATGGGTACTAGGCTTAATACCTGGGTGACAAAATAATCTGTACAACAAACCCCTATGACATGAGTTTACCTGTATAACAAATCTGAACATGTACCCTTGAACATAAAATAAAAGTTAAAAAAGGTAACATAATTTTTAAAAACTCTACATAGGCTCAAATATTTAAAAATACTTTTTAAAACTATATCAGATAAGATCCTGACTAACATACACTTTAAGAAGTGAAAGATTAGAATTAAAATTTGGTATATTTCATAGATGATTGGTAATTATTGTAGGTACTCTAGCATTATCTATATGCTTCACTGTCTTGAGACAGAATCATACCTCTTCAGCCTCATGTCCCAGTATTACAATCGTCCCTTATTCCACTTCAGTATACTTATTAAAGTTTCAACAATTCAAAGTCACAAATAGCTGCCCAAAGATACAAATTTTTACACATATCCACATTTTTCTACACACTGTCTAAAATGTTCTTCTCTAATGATCCTAGCAGACAAGTATATATGTATATTATATATATAGTATACGTATCTTTTAAAATCTAGACGACTAGTCAATTATCTTGAGTTGTTTCAAACATTCATCTTCTATTCCCTTAATGCATCCTTCACCCCATGAATGCTTAGAAATAAACTCCTATATTCTACCTTTACTGAGTACCTATTTCTATGGTTTTACTGTATAACTCTGGACTATAATGTCTTCCTCTTCTGCAAAGTTGTTCTATCCATTATTGAAAGTGGGGTACTAAAGCCCCCAACTATTATTGTTTAATTGTCTGTCTGTCCCTTTAATTCTGCCAGTTTTTGCTTAATGTATTTTGAAACTCTGTTTTTGGGTACATGTATGTTTATAATTGTCATGTATGCCTAATGGATTGATCCTTTTATCATCATAAAAAGTCCTGCTTTCAAAGTCACTGCTCATATAGCTCTTTTCCTGCAGAATATTGAAAAGTCAGGAATAGTGTCAGCTATTCATTTCTGTGTTCCAAAACTTGGCCTAGTGTTTAGAATAAAGCAGGTATGAAATAGAATTTTTAAAAATCAATTTTAGTTTTCAATAACTTAAAAGAGAGATTATCTTCTCTATAATCATCTGGTAATCTATTCTAATTTCTCATGCCATATACTTTTTTTCCATTAGGATAAATAATTTTAAAACTCCCTCATTTTGCAATTTATATTGATGTTATTTTGCTCTGTCTTGCATGTATATACCAAACAGATGGCCATACTCCTCTCCATATATACCAACTCTGTATACTAGTTGGTTAGATCATTACTCAGTTTTATCTTTAGTAACTTAAAAATTCCCAGTTAACTTTAATCTTCCTCATAAATTTGATTTTCTAAATCTTTGTATATTTTAGAGGTTTTCCTCTGAGTTATCTCCAAATTCTTCAAATAGATCCATATATTTATGAATAATTTTCATTTGTGTACTATTATTTATATTGTTTTGAACTTTTGTTGGCAATTCGTAAAACACTATTCATTATGACTATTAGATCTTTTCCTGATATGTGCAAGTATTCTCTTCTTTAGTCTGTTTAGTCATCTCAGATACACTATTGATAACTGCAATTATTTAATAATCCTTTGAACACTTACTACATACAAACATTGTTGTATGTTGCTGGGAATCAGTGATATAATTTATTATAAATGTATGCTATTTAACTGTGGCTTGGACATGACTGATACTTGACAACTCTTCTGATTATCTTTGTAGCTGGCTCACACATCTACTGGCATGAGTAGCAACTATTCCGTTTATTCTGAAAGCAATTACTCTATGTATTCTGATAGCAATTCCAAATTTCCATTTTCCCCCTAAGCTTATAACACATACCCATATCAGATAAATTTGCCCTCTGTCTTACTAAGAAGACAGAAGTTACTGATAAAACACTTTCTACTTCTCTAGGCTCAATCCCAGAATTATTCACTATTTTCACTCTTCATTTTCCCTCTTTTCTTTTTTTTTTTTTTTTTCTGTTCAAAAAGCGAGTCTGCAATAGAACAAATAGAAAGGATGATAATCTCTCTAGTACTCCTTGGCAGCCTGGATTAGAAACTGAAAAAGTACCAGGGAAAGATATACAGGGCTAGTGACTAGCAATGTAAAAATTAAAGAAATTCAGGGGAAGGACAGCCCATTGTCCTTCCTTAGAAGTCCTAGGGAGCCTCTTCCCATTAGAAGTCTGAGGGGACTAACTAAGGGAATTATAGATTCAAGTCTTTAGTCTTATATACTTACTACAGAGAGTGAATATAATGAGTAGAAATGCGTAATAGGCATCTTGAAATATTTTAAATAAATCTTTTCTTTCATATTACTTTTCTTTTTCAACACATAGTTTGAAAAATTAAAAGCTTATATGAAGTAACTCTACTTATAAAGACAAAGGTGGAATTTGAGGAGAGGATTAGGACCAAGGAAGTTGAGAAGCTAACTATATTGAAAGCCATCAACAGGGACGCTAAGTTTTTTTAAAAATGGGGGGAAATAATGGACTTAGGAAAGAAAACTATAGTTGGTAAAATCACTGTTCTAAAAAGACTGGAAGCAGAGGCAAGATTAATGAAATTTTTTCTTTGTTTTGCAGCAGCTTGACTACAGTATACCTGGCTTTGTGTGTGTTTGCACATATGTATGTATGTGTATATATACATATACAAACACATGTGCATATAAAATTTATCTTGCTTCCTAAATTTTTGCTTTGATGCTTTCAATTTTACAAAATTCTCAATCAGTATTTTTTCAAATATTGTTTCTATATCATTCTGTCTATCCATCCTTCTTTTGGGAATATTGCACAAATGTCAGTTATTTTTACCATGTGCCATACGTATCTTAGGTTCCTTTGGTTTTACCTTTCATTTTTCTGTGTGTATTTCAATGTGGCATTTTCTAATGAACTGTCTGTTCATTTACTGTTTTTGTGAGTCTAGTGTTTCATTCAATATATCTAAATGCAATGAGTAACTAGTAAATATCTAAAACTATAGTTTTTCTCTTTTTTTCAGTATTTTGCCTTCACTCCTAAAGTGTAGTCCTTCTAGGGTTCCAACTAAGTTTACCAAGGCCCTTCTGCCTTGGCAGGGCTTAAAATTCAGCCTTTCTTCTTAGTCCCATGCACCTCCTGAAATCTCTGCTAACTTGTTCAGACACTCAAATTCTGTTTATTGATGAATTTCCTGGAATTTCAACTTGTACATATACATATGCATCTTAAGAGCTGGCTAAAGTTGGCTAATGACAGAAAGATTGTCATTTTCCACTTGGATTCCAGTCTTCCACACTAGGAATTGAAAAATGCTCTCAGGGAAAAAGTTAGGGTAAATGTGGAGTTCATTTCCAGTGCTTCTATTCTGTTCTCCCAAGAACCATTATCCCTCAAGTCCTGCTTAAACTGGTTGTTCTCCAATTCCTTCAAACAATTGTTTTATGTATTCTAGCTAGTTTTCATAGAAGCTACTCCACCACAGGTGGAACTGGAGTCTCTATTTAATCAATTCCTGAATAAGAAAGATTGAAATGAAGAACTAGTACATATCAGCTGAAGTTAATTATCCAGATATATATTTCATTCTAAATAGATGACTATATGTAGATAATAAATTATACAGCTTTTCCATCATAGTGTACATTCAGTCATTCTTTTTTTTTTCTGTTTCAGTAGTACATGTGCAGGTTTGTCATATAGGTAAATTGTGCGTCATGGGAGTTTGGTGTACAGATTATTTTGTCACCCAGGTAATACGCAGAGTACCCAATAGGTAGTTTTTCGTTCCACTCCCTCCTCCCACCCTCTACCCTCAAGTAGGCCCCACTGTCTGTTGCTCCTGTCTTTGAATCCATGTGTACTCCATGTTTTCCACTTATAAGTGAGAACATACGGCATTTGGTTTTCTGTTCCTGCATTAGTTCACTTAACATAATAGCCTCTGGCTCCAAAGGCTGCTGCAAAAGACATGCTCTCATTCCTTTATCCAGTCTACCACTGATGGGCATTTAAATGATTCCATGTCTTTGTTATTGTCAATAGTACTGCAATGAACTTACATATACATGTGTGTTTATGGCAGAAGAATTTATATTCCTTTGGTTATGTATCCAATAATGGAATTGCTGGGTCAAATGGTAATTCTGTTTTTTTCTTTCAAATATTGCCACACTGCTTTTCACAATGGGCAAATTAATTTACACTCCCATCAGCAGTGAATAAGTGTTCCCTTTTCTGTGCAACCTTGTCAGTACCTGTTCTTTTTTGACTTGAGATACCCTCTCACATCAGAAAGAATGGGAAGTGGTCAATCAAGGTTCACCCTTCTGTTCTTTTTACTCAAAGATAATCAACAGATTTCTAAAAGATTAACAGTGGTTCTGACATCACATGTTATTTTTCATTTTTTTATTATCTGGATATATAGTAGTTCAGGTTGATAGTATTTTTAAATCATTTAAAGCAACTAAGTGCATACATGCTTAACTATTAAATATGATTATCTTCTTTTTTAAAATAATAATGACTGTCCTCACAGGAGGGCAAAAGAAAAAAGTTTTTAAAAAGTCAAGTAATTCTTTAATTTTTATTATATTTTAAACTTAGAATACTAATCATGTACAATAAGTAATTATATTATCTTTATATTTTAAATTTGTGCTATTATTTCTATACAATAGATTTACTGATTTTTCTTGATGATATATAGCTACAGAAGTTATTCTCTATATTTTTCCTTCAGCTTTTTAAAGGTCTCAATCCATTCTGTGCTTAACTTTTTAGACCTGTTTCAAGTTTGTACCACTTCTCTGGATTTATCTCAGAATACTGTGTGAAAATTAAAAGCATAAAATCTAGAGTCAGTTTACCTAGATCAGAATCTCAGCCCTGACCTGGCACGTATTTGTTGTGTAAGTTTAGGCACGTTTTCTTAATTCATCTTGCATCAGTTTCCTGATCCGTAAAATGATTAAAAAAAAAAACCTACCATATAGGATTAACTATATGAGTTAATCTAGGCCAAGTTTACAGAACAGTACTTGGTACAGTCCTCCCTGGGTATCCTTGAGGGACTGGTTTCAGAACACCTTCCCTCCCCCTGCAGATAACAACATACACTAATGCTCAAGTCCCTTATATAGAAAGACACAGTATTTGTGTGTGACCCACGAACATCCTCCCATCATATACTTTAAATCAGTGGTTCCCAAACTTTTTGGCACCAGGAACTGGTTTCATGGAAGACAATTTTTCCAAGGATTGGGGGGTTGGGGGCATGGTTTTGTGATGATTCAAATGCATTACATTTATTGTGCACGTTATTTCTATTCTTATTACATTGTAATATATAATGCAATAATTATACATGTCATCACAATGTAAAATCAGTGGGAACCCTGAGCTTGTTTTGCTGCAGCTAGACAGTCCCATCTGGGGGTGATGGGAGACAGTGGCAGATCTTCAGGCATTCGATTCTCATAAGGCGCACACAATGTAGGTCCCTCACATGTGCAGTTCACAATAGGGTTTGTGCTTCTATGAGAATCTAATGCTGCCACTGATCTGACAAAAGGTGGAGCTCAGGCGGTAATGGGAGTGGTTGTAAATACAGATGAAGTTTTGCTCACGTCTGCCGCTCACGTCCTGCTGTGTGACCTGGTTCCCAACCAGCCATGGACCACTACTGTTCAATGGCCCAGGGTTTGGGGAACCCTGCTTGAAATCATCTCTAGATTACTCATGATACCTAATACAATATGAATATTATATAAAATGTCCAACAATGATAGACTGGATTAAGAAAATGTGGCACATATACACCATGGAATACTATGCAGCCATAAAAAATGATGAGTTCATGTCCTTTGTAGGGACATGGATGAAATTGGAAACCATCATTCTCAGTAAACCATCGCAAGAACAAAAAACCAAACACCGCCTATTCTCACTCATAGGTGGGAATTGAACAATGAGATCACATGGACACAGGAAGGGGAATATCACACTCTGGGGACTGTGGTGGGGTCGGGGGAGGGGGGAGGGATAGCATTGGGAGATATACCTAATGCTAGATGACACGTTAGTGGGTGCAGTGCACCAGCATGGCACATGTATACATATGTAACTAACCTGCACAATGTGCACATGTACCCTAAAACTTAAAGTATAATAATAATAATAAAAAAAGAAAAAAAAAAAAAGATTAAAAAAAAAATAGTTGTAATATGGTATTTTTTATTACTTTTATTGTCTTTCTCTAAATATTTTTGAACTGCAGTTGTTTGAATTCACAGATGTGGAGCCCATGGATGTGGAGGAACCCACAGATGTGGACGGCTGACAGTATATAGTATGCATGTAAATAAGTATTAGGTATTACTATTTGCCTTTAGCCAAAATTGAAGATAGAAGACATTCTGATTTATATTACCATATAATCTATGACTTAAAGACCAAAATAATTTTGGAAAATAAATGTAGCTATTGTTTTAAAATATGGTCAAAATTGATTCCTAAAAGCCTTTGATTAGAAACTCCCCTGTTTAACACTGGTAAATACAGTCATCCTTAGTGAGGTTAAATGGGTACCTTTTTACCTCACCATTCTTTTTTTCTACTATTTTGGTAAATGTGGCCACCATACTTTTGAGAAGAGTCTTTGCTTCCACTTTACTCGGGAAGAAAAGAGAATTAGAATCTACTGAGCATTTCTAATAGGCATTGTGTTAGGCATTTTTACATATACTGTTTCAGCACTATACCTGAGGTTCAGAAAAGTTAACTTGCTCAAGGTTATGAACAGAAAACAGTCTGCTACTTAGAACAATGTCATCCCAGAGCCCAGATTTTTTTTTTTTTTTTTTTACTATGTGACACTTCTCTGCAAATCCATATATTTCTTAGAATTAAATTTTCATATATAAATGCTGTCATAAAGACAAGATTGTTCTTCAGATTTTACACCATGGAAAGGTAATTATCATTAAAGATATCGACCATAATATATTCCTCATTTTAAAGAACTTTCACATAGGTTGGCCAGTGGAATATAATCAGTTTGTATTATTATGCCTTACATAATTCTTAAAGAGAAAGTAGTTTACAAAGAAGCAAATTAGGAAATCTTTCAAGAGCTTTAACATTCTGACATGAACCATTGGTAATTAGTATATTAATTAGAAGCCTTTATTTAGAAATATGCCATTTCTCTTATTTGCAGTTTTATTTAGTGGTCATATTTTTAATGAACACTAGTAAAATTCCATTGTAATTCTTTTTTTTTTTTAACCTTTCAAAAGGTTTTATTTTATGTGCAAATAATGAACAGATGGCGTACCCATAAATTCTACTTTCCAAAAACAGGAGCTTTTTAAAAGAAAACCACATAATAACTTTTAAAAGGCACTGGGATTCCTCTGCTTCTACATCATTGCTAGGCTAGAAAAATAAAGTATGCTCTACCAGGAATCGCAAGTTAAAACTGAGTATTCTCCCCAGTACTCTGGAAGGCCGAGACGGGTGGATCACGAGGTCAGGAGATCAAGACCATCCTGGCTAACACGGTGAAACCCAGTCTCTACTAAAAATACAAAGAAATTAGCTGGGAGTGGTGGTGGGTGCCTGTAGTCCCAGCTACTGGGGAGGCTAAGGCAGGAGAATGGCGTGAACCCAGGAGGCGGAGCTTGCAGTGAGCCAAGATCACGCCACTACACTCCAGCCTGGGCCACAGAAAGAGACTCCATCTCAAAAAAAAAAAAAAAAAAGAACTGAGTATTTCTCCAAAGTGGAAATTCTAGAGTGTAGTGTCACTCCAGGCAAAGATTATTCAGTTCTCATCCCCAACATCCACAACTACCTATCAGAAGGGTTAAACCAGGTCAAAGCAGTGCAGCATAATTAAGCTTCATCAAACAATGTCATTATGCTCTTCTAAGATGCAAATAAACGAAAACAGGAAGTACTAAAATCAAAATAATATTTGACACTGTCATACAAATTGTTAGTTTCTTGTTGTATCCCCCCTTCTATAATATTAATAAAGGGAATATTTTACTGTAAATAATATTTTATCACTAGCCATGAATTTTTGTCACTAGTTATTATACAAATGCTGCCTAGTGCCATTATCCAAATGGCATAACCATTTTACATCCACAATTCACTTCTATAGTTATAAGTAGAATTTTCATGATTTACATTAAGTATATCTATCAGTGAAAATTTAGCACTGAGATGCAATCTAATATCCGTAATATCTGATGTTTTGTAGATGGAAATGTAGGAAAGATATATTAATCACTTTTCATTTAAGTGACCTATGTAAAAAATAAACTAATAATTTAGCAGTTCCAAGTCTCCAAAGGGCATCTTCAAATATACATAAAAGAAATGGTTACAGAGATTTTTAAGAAGCATCTTCCATATCCACATCCTCTGGTAACTGCTATACCATTTTCTCTTCCAACTGCTTCCCTTTGCCTGCAAAAGAGGCTCGGATAAGATGGATGTTTTGCTTGACTTCTTTGATATCCTGAACTTTCTGTCGCTCTTTTTCTTCAATCTGTTCATTATAAATTTCGCTTGGCATTTCTGCTTGATCTCTTCAACTCTCTTCATTGCATCAATACTTTTATTCCATAGCTCTCTCTGTATTTGATAGGTTCATTTCTATGTTTTTCAAATTCAAATGAATTATCCACTATAAGTGCTTTGCCAGCTGCTTTATGGAATGCTTTGGTTCACCTAACTTTGCGAGGATTATGCTTCTTTTTAACGTTTTTATAACATTTAGATTTACAAAATCTGAACACCTTGCAATCATTGTGGATGAACATCATGCTGTGGCCAGGGTAGATGGGCCCTGAACAGAAATAACACTTCTCGATATGCATGTTGAACCCGCGTGGGCCCCCACCAACCCATTGTAATTATTTCATATAATATGGATACAATAAACATTCATTAAAAACTTATAGATTATATGACAATTTGACAGACCTCATATAAATTAACCTCTTACAATATACAAAGCGTGCAAAACATAATTAAATGAGATTACAGAGTAATTTTTAAACTACACAAGAAACACTGTGGCTCTCTAAAGATTATAAAGACTCTTGATACACTACTAAAATTTTATCTATTTATTAAAATAATACTTCTAAACACTTTTGTTCTTTCACTGAATATTCACTGAGAACTTATTATGTGCTAGGCATTATTTCATGTGCTAGATAGAAAGTTAACAAAACACATATAGTAATTGTATTCATGGATCTTACATTCTACCGGGGGAAATGGGTAGTAAATGAATAAGTAGAAAATTTCAAATATTGTAAGTGCTGTAAAGAAAACATTATAAAGAGGATGATGTGACATAATGCATGAAAACAACTTTAGATTGGGTGGTGCTATTTAACCTCTGAGAAAGCAATAATTTAAACAGAGGCCTGTGATTATCTTAGTAATTGTATACATGTAAAATAATAAATCTATTCTAAAAATATACAAAAACTATAATTCAGAAGTTTCTCTAATTTAAATTTTCAATATTTGATTTTAATTAGTTATATTACATATTTCACTTATGTATACAGTGCACAGACCCTATAAAGCAGTCACACAATGGAAACTACAAAACAACCAGCTAACAACTTCACCATATGATCAAAGCAGCCTCATATATCAATATTAACCTTGAATGTAAACAGTCTAAATGCTGCACTTAAAAGTAACAGAGTTGCAAGTTGGATAATAAAACCAGATTCATCCCTCTGCTATCTTCAACAGACCCATTTCACGTTACACCAACAGGCTTAAAGTAAAGAGCTGGAGAAATACTATGCAAATGGAAAACAAAAAAGAGCAGGGGTTGCTATTCTTACCTCAGATAAAAAAGACTTTAAACCAACAACAGTAAGTATGTTTAACTTATGGTAATATTGTTATTTGCATCAGTGCAATAAGAATCCATTTTCTTTTGCAACAGGACACAATTAGAGAAACTGGTTGTTTTACCAAGGCTTTGAGTAGAAGGTTATGCCTTCCTTTAAGGAGTCAAGTTTGACTTGCAGAGCCCCTTGGGAAAACTGGCCTCATACCTTGTCTACACAGTCCCTATACAGGGTTCCTAACCTGTGGTGAGTAAAGAATGTCACTTTCTAATAGACCCAGGAACCCCAAGTTATCTTGGGACCTCAAGAGTGGAATTTACCCAAATCACAGGCATTTGAGGGTAGAAACCCATGGCTGGGCTCGGCTTTAAGAAAGTCTTATCTGAGATTCCTTGTGGAACAGAGTTCCATCAAAGCCAATTTTAAAAGCCTACGTGAAAAATAATTATTCTTGCTGCACTTTATGCAAATATTCAAGCCAAGTATAAGATTAAAATTTATTTTGCAAACAACTCAGTCCTATCATGATTTGTTTTTGACAAAAATGAGGACTAGAGAGAGAAAAATTATGTTTCAAAACTTATCATACACTTGCCATTAAATTCTAATCTCATTATTTGTTTTTAAGTTTTTGCCTACGTTTTAGACTAACCCTGTGAACCAAACAGTGGTCTCTGGCTGCAGCTCACAAGAAACAGAGGGATGGGTAAAGTAAAATTCTGGATCAATATTCTAGTTCTGGGCAATTATCCTGCAAATCCTGCCAGGTGATAGAAATAAATGGGGTACCCATAACCCGGAGGTTTCTTTGGGAAAATAAGGCCAAGGGAGCTAACCAAAGCCAAGCCCCATGCACCCAAACCTTAGCAGGTACAACTACAGCCACCAGTTATCCTGGCATGGTGGCAGCCTCAGGATTTCTAAGCTGTCCTTACCCCCTTTTTTCATTTTGATACATGTCTTCTAATAACCCAGTTTCTCTCTTCTCGCCTTCAGGCCATCAAACTCAAAATGGTCACGCAACTGTAGCTTCAAACGATGGCTCCCTTTTACTGGGGATCCTTAGACAAGCCTCTGAGGGAGATTTGACTGCTATTTTCCCCAAACAGTGCCCTCTATCAGCAGAAAGCAGTTAAGATCGTCTTCATTCCTATTCTAATGGCAGTTAGAGGTACCTTTTCAGAGGGGGAAAATTAGAGTGATAGGAGGCAGCCAAATGCCTAGGCAGATAGGGGGTGGGTCCCCTGTGAAATCCCACTTTCAAGCCAAAGACAGTTTAAAGCCTGAAAGCCAAGCTACAAGTTTAACCTTTGGACTGGATCGATAACTTGTCTTCCTGTGTGGCAGCCTTTCCTCTGACTGATCCCCACCTTCACCTACTTTATATATACCTACCCTTTCCTAATTGGTTTTCTACACTGTCGTGCCCACCTTTGAGTGGTGTCTTCACTTTAACCTTTTTTGCATAATCACAAACCAATCAGCACATACTCCCCATTCTAAGTCCATAAAAGGCCCAGGACCAGCTACACGGGGAATTTTCCCACCTTTGGGTGGGGGAAACACCCCTCCCCACCACATCCCCTCTTGGCTGAGAATTTTTCCTTTCACTTAATAAATTCTATTCCACTCACTGTACAGTGTCCACATGCCTGCCTAATTCTTCCTGGTTGTGAGAAAAAGACTTGGACCTAGCTGAATTAAGGAGCAGAAAGACCACAACACATTCACATGGTAAAAATAACTATAATGTTAGGGAAGTGCATACAGTAAAAAGTTTTCCTCCCTACCCTGCCAACCAGATTTTTATGTGTCCCTCTATGCATATAAAAGCAATTGCAGCCAGGTGTGGTGGCTCACGCCTGTAATCCCAACACTTTGGGAGGCTGAGGTGGGCAGATTACTTGAGGCCAGGAGTTTGAGACCAGCCTGGCCAACATGGTGAAACCCTGTCTCTACTAAAAATACAAAAGTTAGCTGGACAGGGTGGTACGCGCTTGTTATCCCAGCTACTCGGGAGGCTAAGGCAGGAGAATCGCTTGAACCCAGGAGGTGGAGGCTGCACTGAGCTGAGATAGTGCCACAGCACTCCAGCCTGGGTGACAGAGTGAGAATTGGTCTCAATCAATCAATAAATGCAATTGCACTTATATCTCCCATTTATATTTGTGTGTGTGTGTGTGCGTGTATATATATATATATCCCTTTTTAATGCAAGTATACACACTATTGTGCATATTTTTCTGACAGCAATTAAGGTTTACATATACTTTTGAAAAAGATGATTTTATGTAATAAATACTTCTAGTTCTTGGAGATTGTATCAACTTTAGTTCAAATAAAATATACCAATGAGTTTTAATTTTTTCATAACTCCATGGTTTTCCTGGATTCCCCACCTCCACCTCATACATAACCACTCTCAAATAAAGTATCTTGCTCTACACAATTTCCTTCTCCTTTCACTCCCCTATTACCGCTAACTGCATTGGTTTTAATGAAATAATAGAAAATTTAATGAGCTGAACTCAAGTATCTGTGGCATATGTAAGAAAATAACTAATTCAGGTAATTCAAAGACCACTATGTGCTACTTCATTAATTGTCAGGGATTTCTATTTCTGTCTAACAGAATTAGTTTAGAAGTATGCCTGTTCTGTTTTACATGATTCAGACTTAAATAAACATCATAACCTAGATTTATTATACTTCATTCTCATTATCAAAGGTGACTACTATTCTCAGCACATGTAAAATAACTGAAAGCATTTATTTATTTGAGGATCTTATGACAATTATATGTATCTTAATTTTGTAACCATCTCTTAATTAATGAAGAACTAGGTATATGGTACAAAGTTAATGTTGCCATCCAAAAGACAGTAAAAACAAATGATTCAAGTCCAGGATTGATCACTTAAAAACTTATGTGTTCTTGGAGCAAACAATTTTTTTTAATCTAAACTCCATATTGCTTGCCTATAAAATGGAAATGCAGTTGACTCTCCATATCCATGGAGGATTGGTTCCAGGACCACCGTGGATACAAAATGCAGAGGATGCTCGAGTTCTGTTGGCCCTCCACATCTGTGGATGCAAAGCACAGTTGTGCCCCTGCCTACACAACCACAGGTTTAGATAAGAAACCTGTGGATATGGAGGAATGACAGCAATATCATCATATGCCTCACAGGATTACTGTGAGCAACAAACATTTAAAAAAATATGTTAGGGCACTTTGTAAAGTTGAAAAAAAGCATTAAATAAATGATAGCTGTTAAATATTGACATGTACACATGCAATGAATATTCATATTTATTATAGGTATATTAAATCGGCATGTACTCCATAAGTACTTTTAAAGTTAATTTGTAGGGCAAAACATTCAAATTCATGAATATATTCAACAAAAACTTTTTTGAGCAACTTCTACCATGTGCCCCACAATATCCTGGGGTTAGAGGTAAAGGAGAGAATAAGATAGACAATCTTTGTGTTTATACAACTTATAATAAAGAGAGGAAGACATTAAGCAGATAAATGCACAAATATTAATTAATTACAAATGTGATAAGTTGGCAAGGAGAAAACTCTTGAAAGTCAGGACAAGTGGATTGTTGTACTTCTCTTGCTCATTCACCAGCCCAAATATTTATTTGGTACCATGCTAGAAAGCTCTCTTATTAACTATTATTTTCCTTTTGTCCACTTTAGAGAAAGCACAATGCATTTAAATTAGTACCTTTCCAATTCTGACTCACGCTTGAAATATATGAAAGAAAAGCATTCTAATTTGGGGAGGGAAGTATTTTATCTCATAACATTGGTTGATGATGTTCATGGGTCACAGGAATTTTTACGAAATTTTAAAATTATTTAAAAATATGTGACTAAATAATTCTAGCTACACACTGAGGTAAGATTTTACAGAACCATAAATCATAAAGAAAGGTACCTGAAAAAAATCACCAGAAAATAATGGTAGTTAAATAGCTCTACAGAGTCTACATCTCAAAGAGCCAAAGAACATATGGAAATTTTGCCAATAAAAGGAGTGCACTTTAAATGACTTCTGAGGAACTGTCTATTATTTATGAGTTACTTGCTCATTTTTATAAGGCTTAAAGCACTGAGACAAACTTGAAAAATTTCCCAGAGCCACATTTGTGACATAAATTTAGAGTAACAGCAAGCTTCATTTAAAACCCATGTTATGCAGTTATGCTCTAATAGATTAATATTAAGCAAACATAGTCAGTAAAGTCAAGCTAATAAATACATTTAATTCCTACAAGAAAACACCATTGAATGCTTAAAAATATTTGGCTTGCATGAACTTTACCTGATACCTCTATATAACCGATACTCTCTATACCTTTATAAATCCATATTCTTAGACAGTGAAGTCACCAGCCAATAGCATTGTTTTGCACAAAATCAGAGACAAAGATTTATTAGAAATTTAATTTCTAAGCAAGTAGGAAGACTACAAAATTAACAGTCATATATTTTTATTTAAGTTCTGCTGATTAATGTTTTATTTGAGTGCAGGATTTCATCATACAGCATTGTAAGATAAAATACTGTCTAAATAAGACCAAATAGTTCAATGTTAACATATTTTACAGGTTTCCATAACAGTGCAGGAAAAACAAATATAAAACACCAACTTAGGCTATATAATTGATTCTTAGTAAAGTTCACATTCCCACAGTTCACATTCATAGCACTTGAGATATAATGACAACTTCTCTGAAGTCTATAAAAGTCAAAAGGCTATTTTAATGTTTTAATGGAGGAAAAATTAGTGTAATTTCTGTATAGGCACAATAGTACAAAGTGAGCTTGGTGTAACAAGATTACTATAGAAAGAAAATTTAATTATTTAATAATTTTACAGAATAGTAGAAAATAAGTAGATCTTATTTCTATTATCGCATTATTTATATTACTCTAGAAAACCTTAATAAGATTTAAGATTGTGTTTTAAAAGGCCTATCTTACACATTTCTTCACCTGCTGCATAACTTACACATATGACTCACTATAGAGAGAAGTACATTTCACAGTTTTATTATTTTCAGATTATCTGATTATTATCTTTTATATATAGTTATCATTCTGTATTATGATATGAAAGTCACTAGTAGTATAAATTGAATATTCAGTATAATTAAATTACTATCAGTTTTCCCTCATAAATTTCTGGTGGGAGTGTAAAATGGCACAGTCACTTTGGAAAACTTTAAGTTTCTCAGAATGCTGAAGACAGAGTCACCATATGACCCAGAAATTCTACTACAACTAAGTACTTATCTAAGAGAAATAAAAACATAATGTTTGTACAAACACTTGTAAATGAATGTTCATACCATTATTGATAATAGACAAAAAGTGGAAAACTCAAATATCCATTAACTGATGAATAAATAAACAAAATGTGATAAACTCAGATAATGGATTACTATCCAGAAATAAAAAAGAACTACTAAAACATGCTTCAATATAGAAGCACCTTAAAAAATGCTCAGTGAAAAAAGCTAAACACAAAAATCCCTATATGTTGTATAATTCTATTGCTATGAAAAGTCTAGAATAGGCAAATCTATAGTGATAGGAAGTAGATTTGTGGTTACATAGTCTTAAGCTGGAGGTGGGAGAGAAAAAAAGTGACTGGTAATGGGCACAGAGATTTCTTTTGGGATGATGGAAATGTTTGAAATTACATTGTGGTGACAGTGGCAAAAATAAGTATACTAAAAATCACTGAATTGTGCACTTAAAATAAGTAAATTTTATGATATATAAGGTATATCTCAATAAAGCTATTTTTATAAATTATATTCGTTTTATTTTTCCCTTTCTAGCTGCGTGATTGCTGCATTAAGGCAGTCTAATAAATAAAACCAATAATGCAAGCAGTTTTCCTGTTGGATCAGTAGATTATATTTTGTTTTCACATCAATTGATGTGTGAAAATAGAATAGAATATAACTTTCTTTAAAATTTTTTTTTTTTGGCAGAATAGAAACTTTATATCAGTTAGCTATGACTGCCACCCTAAAACTCAGGGGCTTAAAACAATCATAACTTATTATTTATCCTAAATCTGTGCACTGCTTAAAAAATGGCTGCTCCAGGCTGGGCTCAGCTGGGTTCATTCATGAGTACATGGCTAACTGAAGAATTATCTGGTCCAGGCCTGGGAGTAGCTCTCCCCCATGTATCTCTCATCCTTCTCCTGACACCAAAATACTGTCACACATATTCTTATTGCATGGTGGATGTACAAGAGAGTAAGTATATACCCAGGGGCTCTATCCATTGGTAACAACAAGTTAAGTGGTCAAATACAAATTCATAAGGCAAGGAAGTCCACTCCACCCCCAACAGTGGGTTCCTAAAAAATTATATGGCAAAGGGCTTTGACGGACATGGTTGAAAATCAGGGCCAATAACAGAATCTACCATAAATTTTCATTATTTAAACACGTTTGTATATATTTTCTGTGGGTGTATCAGGATTCAATGCTACTAATTCTATATTACAATTATTTATTAAATCAATCTCTCTTCTCTTTTTTTTTTTTTTTTAACCACTCCTATTGCTTCACTTTAGGATTCCTGACTTAAGATTAACATGTTGGTCTCCTGTCTCTAGTCTCAGCTCTTTCTTGTCCATTATAGTCTTGTTGTTTAAGAAACACATTTTTTTATTGTGCTTCGCTTTATTGTGCTTTTCACAACCTGAAGGTTTCTGGCAACCCATGTCAAGGAAGTCTGCTGGGGCCATTTTTCCAAGTGCATGTGCTCACTTCACGTCTGTGTCACGTTTTAGTAATTCTCGTAGTATTTAAAACTTTTTCATTAATATCATGTCTGCTATTGTAAACTGTAATAATTAACCTTTGATATTACTCTTGTAATTGTTTGGAGTCAACATCAATTGAGCCCATATAAGACAGGGGACTTAATCAGTAAATGTGTGTGTTCTGACTGCTCGACCAGCTGGCCATTTTCCTGTCTCTCTCCCTCTTCTTGGGTCTCCTTATTCCTTGAGAAACAACATCGTTAGGCCAATTAATAACCCTACAGTGGTTTCTATTCAAGTGAAAGGAAGAGTCACATATCTCTCACTTTAAATCAAAAGCTAGAAATGAATAAGCTAGAGAAGAAAGCATGTCAAAAGCTGAGATAACCTTCTCTTATGGCAAAAAGCCAAGTAGTGCATACAAAGGGAAAGTTTTTGAAAAAAATTAAAAGTGCTACTCCAGTGAATACACAAATGACAAGAGAGAGAAAGCCTTATTGCTAATATGGAGAAAGTCTGAGTGGTCTTGATAGAAGCCACAACATTTCCTTAAGCCAAAGCCTAATTCAGAACAAGGCCCTAATTCTCTTCGATTCTATGAAGGCTGAGAGAGGTGAGGAAACTGCAGAAGAAAAGTTGGAAGCTAGCAGAAGTTGCTTCATGAGGTTTAAGAAGCTATATCTGTAACAAAAACATACGAGGTAAAGCAGCAAGTGCTAGTGTAGAAGCTGCAGTAAGTTATCCAGAAGATCTAGCTAAGATCATTGATGAAGGTGGCTATTCTATATAACAGAATTTCAATGTAGATAAGACAACCTTAAATACTGGAAGAAGATACCATCTAGGACTTTCACATAGAGAGAGGAAAAGTCAATGCCTGGCTTCAAAGCTTCACAGGACAGGTTGACTCTCTTGGTAGGGACTAGTGCAGCTAGTGACTTTAAGTTGAAGCCAATGCTCATTGACCATTCTGAAAATACTAGGGTCTTCAAGAATTATGCTAAATCTATCCTGCAGGGCTCTACAAATGGAGAGTTTCTGCACAGCAAAAGAAACTATCAACAGAATAAACAGACAACCTACAGAACGGGAGAAAATTTTTGCAAACTATGCATCTGACAAAAGTCTAGTATCCAGCATCTATAAGGAACTTAAACAAATTTAAAAGAAAAATCCAAACAACCCCATTAATAAGTGGGCAAACGACATGAACAGACACTTCTCAAAAGAAGACATACATGCAGCCAACAAGCATATAAACAAAAGCTCAACATCACTGATCATTGGAGAAATGCAAATAAAAACCACAATGAAATATCATCTCATAGCCATCAGAATGGCTATTAAAAAGTCCAAAAATAACAGATGCTGGTGAGGTTGCAGAGAAAACAGAATGCTTATAGACTGTTAGTGGGAATATAATTGGTTCAACCATTCTGAAAGACAGTGTGGTGATTCCACAAAGACGTGGAGACAGAAATACCATTCAACCCAGCAATCCCATTATTGGGTATATATCCAAAGTAATATAAATCATTCTATTATAAAGACACGTGAATGTGTAGGTTCACTGCAGCACCATTCACAAGAGCAATGTTTCTTTTAGGAGGCTTTAGAAGATCATGACGAAAATGTAAGTACTAAAATTTTTTCAATATCATTTATTGTTTTTCTGCTACTTTTAAAAATTCTGTGACTTCTAAAAAAAAAGAATGCTATAAATACAGACTTGACATTGATATGAAAATAACACATAATTAATTCTGATCCAAGCCCAACAAAATTAGAAAACCAGCCAAATGATATCCCAGCAGTACAAAAACTTTATTTTTAGGTCACTTGTGCCAACTTACCTCGTTTGCTGGAATCCAAACCAAAGCAACCTAGTACAATTAGGAGTAATAGTAATATGTGGCAGTAAGTCAGAAGTAGCAAAGTAATGAAGTCTTAGAACCGGTTTAATCAAACCTTGATTTCATTTGTTTTTGGATTCAAGCATCACATTTTCAGCATTGATAAAATACAAGAGGGCCAGTGATACTTAGAATTTTACAAAACATTGGTAAGCTTTAATTTACCTTTTTCCTGCTACCAAAAAATTAAAGAAGTACATGTTGACATTATTATGAATCAACTTTACCTGTGCTTAAAAAAGTGAGGGGGCACCAAGGTCATCCTCCTCCCTCACCTCCACTAAGTTAATGTATTTATGTATTTTCCTCTCTACATCTTTTTGGAGCCTTAAGACCATGGCTACTACTGGTGTCCTGGTCCTTTCCTTATTTCCTGACTTGGAAAACAGAGACTACAATTATAAGTCTGATTTTTAGTATGAGAGTAGTGATATGTCCTTGCAGA
Source organism: Homo sapiens (assembly GCF_000001405.40). NCBI lineage: Eukaryota > Metazoa > Chordata > Mammalia > Primates > Hominidae > Homo > Homo sapiens. Next base: position 66,750,359 of record NC_000014.9, on the reverse strand, counting down.
GCCAAAATTGGAATCCCAGCCAAGGAATGTCTTCCGAAAGAACTCAGAATCTTAAAAGACATGATGTGCAAAAAAAATGAATCTAAACACAGACCTGACAGCCTTCACAAAAATTAATTCAAAATGAATCAGACCTAAATGTAAAACATAAAAATATAAAACTCCTAGAATAGAAGAATATTTAGATGACCTTGGGTTGGTAATAACTTTTTAGATATGACAGCAAAGGCAACATCCTTGGAAGAAAGAAACAGTAGGTTAGATTTCATTAAAATTAACAACTCTGTTGACAGCAAAACTGGGTGACTATAGTCAACAGTAATTTATTGTACATATAAAAATAACTAAAAGAGTATAAATGGATTGTTTGTAACACAAAGAAAGGATAAATGCATGAGGTGATGGATACTCCATTTACCCTGATGTGACAATTACGCATTGTATGCCTATATCTAAATATCTCATGAATCCTACAAATACACAGACCTACTATATGCTCACAAAAATTAAAAATTAAAAAAAAAACCCTGCTTTGTAAAAGGCACTGTGAAGGGAACGAAAAGACAAGCCACAGACTGGAAGAAAATATTTTCAAATGGCAAATCTGATAATGAATTGTTATACAAAATATACAAAGAGATTTTAAAACTCAACAATAAGAAAATGAACAACTCTATTGAAAAATGAGCCAAGGACCTTAACAAACACATCACCAAAGAAGATACACAGATGACAAATAATAATGTGAAAAGATACTCCACATCATATATCATCAGTAAAATGCAAATTAATAAAACAAGGAGATATGACTATAAGCCTATTAGAATGTTCAATATTCAGAACACTGATAATACCAAAGGCTGGCAAGAATGTGAAACAACAAGAAGTCTCATTTATTGCTGGTGAGAATGCAAAATGGTATAGCTACTTTGGAAGACAGTCTGGTGGTTTCTTACAAAACTAAACACACTGTACCACATGATGCAGCAATCATAATCCATGGTATTTACTCAAAGGAATTGAAAACTATGTCCACACAAAAGCCTGTATGTGGATATTTATACAGACTTTATTCATAATGGCCAAAACTTGTAAACAACGAAGATGTCCTTCAGTAGGTGAGTGGATGATAAACAACTCATTTCTTTTTGCTCAATGGTAAAAAGAAATAAGCTATCAAACCATGAAAAGACATGGAGGAAACTTAAACACATATTACTAACTAAAAGAAGCCTATCTGAAAAGGACACACACTATAAGAATCCAACTATATGACATTTTGGAAAAAGCAAAACTATAGAGACATTAAAAATATCCATGGTTGCTGGTGGCTTGTGAGGAGAAAGGGATGAATAGGTAGAATACAGAGGATTTTTAGGGCAGTGGAACTACTCTAGATTATACTACAGTTTGAGTATTCTGAAGCTGAAAATCTGAAATCTGAAATGCTCCAAAACCTGAAAAACTTTAAGCACCAACATGACACTACAAGTGGAAAATTCCACACTTGACATCTTTGCTTTCTTATAGTTCGTTTTAGGCAAACTTTGCTTCATGCCTAAAATTATTTAAAATATTGGATAAAATTACCTTGAGGCCATGTGTAGATGAAACATAAATAAATTTAATGTTTAGATTTGGGTCCCATCTCTAATATCTCTCACTACATATATACACATATTCCAAAATCCAAAATCAGAAACAATTTGGTCTCAAACATTTTGGATAAGGGATATTCAACCTGTATAATGGTGCCATAATACATTTGTCCACACCCATGGAATATACAACACCAACAGTGAATCCTACTATAAAGTATGGATCGGGTAATAATGATACGTCAATGTAGCTTCAATGGCAACAAATATACCACTCTGGTAAAGAATGTTGATAATGGGGGAGGCTATGCATGTAAGGGTGCAGGGGGTATATGGGAAAATCTCTGAGCTGTCTGCTCAATTTTGCTATGAACCTAAAACTGCCAAAAAATAAAGTCTATTTAAAAAGTCTATAAATGCTGTGAATTCCAACAAACATCAATTAAAAGTATGTTATTATAATTCCATATACCATAGAAAGCCTGTGATAACTTTTGCAATTTAAATTTAAAAATGAGTTTATTAATAAGTACTATAGTAAAAGTATTTTTTTTGCATTCTCAAGTAATGGGGTAATTAACCTATGGTTTGCTTGACTTTAAAATTATTTTTTACATATTTAGTGTAAACTATTGTTAAATCAGTATTTCTCAAAGATGATAGCTTGAGCAGTGATATTAAGTAATTAATATTATTGGCTAGATGAATGACAAAATAAGCTTTAGGACGTACCATATTCCATTATTTCAAGTCCTAATGGCACATGATCCTACTTATTGATACATCATCACAGTTTATTAATACAGAAATAGGAGTAGATATGTAGATCTCTTTTTATTTAATGTTAACACTATAGTTCACTACCTAAGTAAATAATTTGGCATTTAAAATCTTAAAGGAAAAAATTTCATGTGTTCATTTACAAAAATATGAAATATCTTCCTTTTAACCTGCTGAACAAATTGCTTATTTAATTTATGTAATCATTTAAGGCACATTTTAACAAAATCCTCAGCTATGTCCATACATAAATGCATTAATGTACATTCAACATTACCAGAGTCCTGACCCCTTAAAAGTTTTATCTTAAAGAAAAAATAATAAAACAATTTTTAACATTAACTCTGGGGCAGTTTTGTTTTTTTTTTTTACAATGTACTATAAATGACTGTCTCAAATCTATTAACCCGTCCTGAGAAGGAGCTCTGCCTATCTTGTTCATTATAATATCTGCAATCCCAGGCCAAGAGTCAGTACTCGTTTAATTTCTGTGGAGTGAATAAATTAATGAATTAACATCTAATTTATAGTCAACTTCTTATGATGTTCTTGTTAAATCTTCCACAAACTTTATCTCATGTCAAAGATACAAATAAGAACAAAAATACCTGATGTTTATTTTATAATTACTTTTTTCACAGTTTAGAAGTTACTTAGTGAAATACTGAAATAAATGGCCTGACAATTGTATCAACAATACCATTTAAAAATCAATTAGGGGTCCTGATTCCAGTAAGATGAAATAAGACCAGACTCTCTTTATCTCATGCTAATTCAACTAAAAAACCTGGCTAGAGACTTATCTGAAAACTCTGAAAAGTTAACACTAGTAGACAGATGAGGGAAGAATACCAATGTTGAGTTTAACATTTATTTTCCTCCACTACCTCTGAAGCCAGAAACCCAGAACTGAGCACTATGTGGTGTGAGTGAGGTCCAGGAGAAATTTTCTGAACACTTACAGTGCAGACAGAGAAAGAGTAGGAGAAATCTCCAGGTTATTTTGTTTCCCCCTCTCCTCTTCCTCATTTTTCTATGCCCCAAACCCTGAACAGTCCCATGGCAGCTAAAATAAAAGAAGACAGAAATGAGAGACTGCAGGAGTCAAAACTCTGAGGGAGGTCGACCTACCTTTCAGAGAAGCAGCAATGCCAAAAGGGCAGCACCAAACCCTGTAGAATTTTTTCCCTATGTCCCTGTCTTCCCACCATGTAGCCTTGGTGGCATCTTATCACCAGTGCTAAATGGTGTGAGGATGTCGTAAAACTGCAGAAAGAAACAATTTCTTTTTTGAAGAACAACAATAACAAAAAAAACAGCCCCAAGGGAAGTAGAAAGTACTTAGGGAAGGGAGACCAGGAAAGCAACTACATAAAGTTGTTTTGAACTTTTACTCACCCTGGATCTGCCCATTTATGGATTTGATACTAATTAGCATATCAAATATTTAAAGGCCTTAGCTAAGAACAGATCTACAAGCTGGTCCCAGAGTGACCACTAGAGGGTACACATTCATGACAGATCCAAATTGCACACCAAAGTCTTGTAAAATAGAGCCAAGGTTAGAACCACACAATCCACAGAAGGCCAAAACAAAAATATCAATATTTTCCACAGGATCTAAATAAGACTCAGAGTCTTATAAAGTAATACAGGATACAAATTCACATGGGATAAGACAATTGATTGAGCCTAATACTGAAATGATGCAGATGTTGGAAAACAGTTTGGCGGGTTTTTATAATGTTAAGTATACATTTATCATATGAGCCAGCAATTGTACATCTGGGTATTTATAGAGAAATGAAAACTTATGTTCATACCAAAACTTATATACAAATATTAACAGTAGATTTATTTGTGACAGCCAAAAGCTGGAAGCAACCCAAATGTCTTTCAATGGGTTAGTAGATAAACAAACTATGGTATATATGTACAATGGAATACTATCTACCATAAAAATGAATAAATTATTGACATACACAACTTGGATATATCTCAGAGACTCTACTCTGAGAGAAGCTGGTCATACTTTCTGATTCTATTTATTTGACATTCTTAAAAACACAAACTATAGTGATGTAAAACAGATCTGTGATAGGCAGGGTAGAGTGATGATGTGACTATTAAGAAAGATCACAAAGGGTTTTTTACTGTATTATTATTATTTTTAAAAATTAAATTTTAAAAAAATAAAAATTCAATTAGGGCATCATGAACACTCATTATACATAAGTAAACTGTCAAGGAATTCAAGTTACTTTAATTAATATAATCAACTATATAATAAAAGTCTTAGTGGACTATTTCTAAATTATCTAAATTTACATTTTTTTCATAATTGGCAACACTTTCCACAGTTGCTAACATATGAATTATTCTACATCAAATTTCTGACAATATATAACAAAATGGTGAAGACATATCACTATCAAATTATCATTTATAATCCCTCACAGAATACTGAATCAAAAAATCTATAAATAATATTTTGAGATAATTGGAGAAATCTAAAAATAGGTTTGTATGTTATATTTTATGATATTATTGTCTCAATGTTAACATTTCCAGCATATGATAAGAGTACGGTGAACAATGTCCTTAATTTTAGGGAAACATGCTGAAGTATTCAGGGGTAAAGTGTCACTATGTCTGAAACAGTTTTTAAGTTATATATAGAGAGAAGGCAAGACAGAGATATAAATAGATACAGCATGTATTCTCAATCATGAGAATCTAGGTGTGCAGAGTGCAGCTGTTCATTATACTGTTGTCCCAACATTTTTTTAAAGTTTGAAAGTTTTCAAAATAAAAAGTTGTAAAAATAAGAGAGTTGAAGTATAACAATAGCAGCAAAAGGTGAAAATAATGAATTCATAACCAAATGAACTTAATGTAGTATTCATAACCTATATTGAGATGTAGAATTTTAACACTGAAAAACTTGATCTTTTAAGGCACGTTTGTCTTAAATGGCCTTCTAACTAAAGTGTAAGTAGAATTCATTTGACTTAAGACTTTAGAAACTTCTACCACAGGGACGAATCTTCCTTACCCCTCAGGATTTAATCCAAATGTCAAATACAACTTGGTATCATAAATCCTTATAAGTAAATAAAAAAAAATTGCATTGCTATATTGAATCTCTAACAAGTAACAGTGACTAAAATATCTACTGTCAAAGATGAGGCACCTTTTACAGATGGAATCAATCTACACAGAGTCCAATCCAGAGAGCCAGAATTTTTTTGTATTTGTCTCTAATAACATCTTAACAAAATGCTCAGTCAACCACAATTCCTAATCTTTCAGTATTCTGAAAATGCACTCAATTAATCAATAAAACTGAGTATTCACTATTTGTCTAACATCAGATCAGACTACTTGTATAAGGAAATTTATCAACATTCTTTCAAGGTGTAAGAAATGCAAAATGTATTAGATAATTCACTGTTTACTCTAAACATTAGACTTACAAGTAGGTAGCCTTGTGTGACTGAATGGGTGCTATAAAGAACTCATTCTCATATACAAACACACGTTGTGCCTCACCAAAGCCAATACAACTTAATTCCTTGTTTAAATTACAGGTAATGCTGAAGAGGAACAGATTTCCAACCACTAGTCACTTAAATCTTGGAGTGAATTGGCTGATCAGATCTTCCTTCCCTGAGAAAAGGATTAATAAGGGAGATCAAGAAGACAAAGAATTGGAAGAGGCTAGGAGGAAAATAATATGGAAAAGAAAGTAGCGTAATAAAATTAAATTTTGTGTAATAGAGTAACTCAGAATAGGCAGTAACTTACTTTAGTTAAAGCAATTTTATAATCAGGTTATAGGCAGAAGGCTACAGAAGATACACAGTTGGTCAACCTATTATATATAGCTATTCTAATTAAAATTGGAAGTTATGTTTTTATTGGGATAGATGAAAGATGAAAAAGGAGAAAGCTTGGAGCCTATTAGAAGAAAGGATGAGAAGTAGTAGTGTAAATAACAGGTTTAATTCTGAGGGTAATGATGAAATGTAATCGTTTCATTTAAAGTAACATAATATGGATATAGTTTATTCTTCACTAGTGGTGATTTATCCATATGGTGACTTGGCAAACACTAAATCCCCAAATTTTTCATTTTGCCAAGGTAATATAAGAAAAATACAAGAAGATAAAGGAAATAAGACTTGGTTAGCTGTTTTAAAGCAATTAAAGAGTTTTTTTGTTGTTGTTGTTGTTTTTTGAGATGGAGTCTCGCTCTGTCGTCCAGGCTGGAGTGCAGTGGCGCGATCTCCGCTCACTGCAAGCACCGCCTCCCGTTTCCACGCCATTCTCCCGCCTCAGCCTCCCAAGTAGCTGGGACTGCAGGCACCAGCCACCACGCCTGGCTAATTTTTTTTGTATTTTTTTTTACTAGAGAAGGGGCTTCACCGTGTTAGCCAGGATGGTCTCGATCTCCTCACCTCGTGATCCGCCCGCCTCGGCCTCCCAAAGTAAGAGATTTTATATGCAAAGGCAAGTAAGCTTTTCTGGATGCTCTAGTGAAGGAAATTGCAACAGGCAACAACACCAGTTTGGGCTTAGTTTAAGGGAGTTTGCTGGATATACTGGAGTGATCTAAGAAAAAAGAAAATAAAATTGAATATGTTACCTTGAAAAGTAATTAATTTTCTCTAAGTTTGTAGATAAAGACTAGAACACAATGTTTCAATTTATAGTGGGGCATACTGGGACTTTAAAGTGGGGGGGAAGATTAAAAGTCTACCAGAAGTATAAACTGGAACAATTAAAAAAAAAAAGAACTCTCTACACAGGGAATCAGGTCCCTCAGATGTAAGGGAGGCCTCACCCTGGAGTATTTTCCCAATGAGCAAACAACTGAAACAATACAGAGTCTTTATGATATTAAGGCAGTGGTGTCAATTTGTTGTGAATGAACAACAGTCCTAACTCCAACTTTCTTAAACAAGAAAAAGAAACTTAAGTATTAAAAAAAAAGAAATGCATCCTGGCTAACATGGTGAAACCCCGTCTCTACTAAAAATACAAAAAAAAATTAGCCAAGCATGGCGGTGTGCGCCTGTGGTCCCAACTACTCGGGAGGCTGAGGCAGGAGAATGGCGTGAACCCAGAAGGCCGGGCTTGCAGTAAGCAGAGATCGCGCCACTGCACTCCAGCCTGGGTGACAGAGCGAGACTCCGTCTCAAAAACAAAACAAAACAAAAACAAAAACAAGAAGAACAAAAACAAATGAAGGCCAGAAATTCAGGCTTAGAAAATAAGCAGAAATAAAATCAACTTCAAAAAGAGCAGGAAGAAAAATAGTATTTTAATAGAACAGCATGGCTTGGACTCTAACAATACATCACATATTTCTTCAACCCTAGGCCACCATCATGGCTGCTAAAAACTGTCACCGTTTCTTCTAAAAATCAATTCTACTATGGGGGTGGGATATTGAACAGTGAAAAAAATCAACACAATAAATTTCTATAACAAGAGCTATATAGGCTCAGGGGCATATGCAATCCTGCCCAAACAGGACGGAATCTTCAATATAATGGTCTCCAAATCAAACTGCACACATACTAGGAATGTGCATAATTATCCATTAAAAGAAGATATCATATATATATACATAAAAAATCTAATTCTCTTTAGTTTCTAATTTTGTGGTATGCTTTATAATGGATAAAATAGTGTAACAATTAACATGTATCAGAATGTTAAGGCCAAAGTGAGGTATTTATTATATTGTCTATGAAGGAACTGTAAACAATGAGACTCAAAACTGTTTTTGACACTTGTGACACCACCCTGGGGGATATAAGAATGTTGAAATCTAACAAGGCAAAAGAGTTCCTTTTGGAAAAGTGTTGTTAGAGTGTTTTGACATTTTTAGGGAGATGGTGTCAAGGAAGAGCGTTCAATAAAGCATTCTGAGCGTTTGACATGTATCCCTTGGAATTGTGGAAAAGCTTGTTTTTGCTCAAGAGGACTAAAAAAGAAAGACTCACTGGAACCAATGAAGATAGCAAGGCAAGGAGAAAGGACAGTAAGGTGGAAGTTTACACTTTGGTCATTTAGCATGATAAAGACAACGGGTTTTTATCATGAATCAATTGGACAATACTGAAGGTAACTGAGCCAAAGCCAACTCAAAGGACTTTATCCCTGTATCAGAGGCTGCCAGGGTGAGGAGATATTAGAAGGAGGCTATGGGATATTCTGCTGGTGACAGTAGCTACAAAGGACTTGAGAGGAAGAAATAATTTGATGTCAGCTAGAAAATTAACTTTTATTTTTAGTAAAGTAACATATGTACAAACTTGAAAACATAAGACAGTGATAAAATATATATGATGTAACAACAGCTGCCACCTATCCAACCATCATTTCATAGTGATTCTGCCCAAAGACAACAACTTACATGTCTTTTATAGTTGTTTGTCTCTGGTATTACTCTCCACATTTCCCCCAACCTTTTATATTAATGGACTTCCTAATATTGAATTGCCTTATACTCCTGAATAAATCATATATGCATGTAACATACATACATATATATCCTCTACTATGCTCTAAATCTCATCAAAGACTGTATATGGTTTCACAAGTCATCTCCAAAATCTAGTGCAACGTGTAGCACACAAAAGACATTCAATAAATATTTATCATATGAATAAATTAAAACAAAATTATTTGCATATTATATTTATCTCATAAATATTGCTAGATCTTACACATATTGAATAAGCAAATCAAGAACGTCTTCAAAGTTGCTTACTGCTATAGTTTGAATGTGTTCCCCAAAAAGCATGTGTTGGAAACTGAATCCCTAATGTTGGGAGCTGGGACCTGATGGGATGTGTTTAGGACATGAGGACTCCACCCTCATGAATGGATTAATGTCAATTATAAAAGGGCTTGAAGCTGCAAGTTTAATTTCTTCCTCTCTCACACACATGCTCTCTTGCCCTTCTTCCTTCTGCCATGAGATGCCACAAGAAGGCCCTCACCAGATGCTAGCACCTTGATACTGGACTTCCCGGCTTTCCAGAACTGTAAGAAATAAATTTTTTCTTTATAAATTACCTAATCTCTGGTATTCTGTTATAACAGCACAAAAGGAACTAAGACACTTACTAAATTGCACCTAAATGAAGACTCTCAGCTTAAATCCCCAGTAATCAACAGTTCAGTGTGTTGCAAATATTCAAGGCCTTACTCTTTATAAATTTTCCACTAACTTTTATTATTCATCCACTTCATTTAAATATACATTAAGAATCTATAAGAGCCAAATATCAGTCATTTTAAAAATATGATAAGCACTTACCACAGGAAAAGCACAGATATAGCACAGAAAAGTTCTAGAATACATCACTAAGTACCACTTTTTAATACTTATTAGCAGCTTTCTGGCTTTTTTTTTTTTTAAGTACTAAATGTTCAGTTTAAAACAACTGGGAAATACAAAGAGCCTACAAAGAAAATTTTAAAGTACCTGTATCCCTAGTATTCAGAAGTAAGCTCTACTATTAAATAAGATATTCTTTCTTTTTATATGTATCGTTAAATAAATAACATATCTTACTATTCTTTGAATTTGAGATCAATGTATAAATGTAATACTCTTAAGGTAAATATTTCCCTCATGACGTTAAGTATTTATAGTAACATAATTTGTAATGGATGAACTATTAACTCTCTGATCCTTCCCCTACTGTTGCACATAATGTTTTTCCTTTTGTTTTCTTCTTATAGAAAGCTCTAAAGATGAATGAGCATATTTGACCATATATTTGATTATATTTTAGACATTTTTGTGAGATATATCATAAATACACCAGTGTGCATGAAACAGTGTAGTTTTGAACCTCTTTCTTGTTTTTGAATTTTTGCTCTTTGTGATAAATTCTCAATAATTTCTTTTAGCCTATTATTCACTTTGCTATTTCTCTCTTCAATTGTATCTGTTCTGCTGTTATACTCCATGTGATTTTAAATTTAGATTATTTGTTTCCAATTCTAGAATTTCTAATTGATTATTTTCCAAATTTGCTAGGACATTTTTACAGTTTGCTGTTCCCTATTGATTTTTTTTAGGCTTTTGCTTTTTAGTTTTATTTTGTTTAACATATTAAGTAAGCATAGTTGTTTTTTACTCTATATCCAATCATTCCAATATTTAATGTCTATGTAGGGTTGATTCAGCTGCTTAGTGTTTCTGATGATTCTTATTCATAGTACTTCATTTCCTTGTAGCTTTTCGTGTTCAGTGGTAAATAATGTATGGTATTTCTTTGAATTTTAGGACAAAGTGAATTCACCAGAGAATCTGCATTTGTTTTGGTCAGTTGTCCGAACGCACTATCCATCATAGACTACTTTAAACTAAATTCATACACTTAAAGTGTTTTTCCTTCCATTGATGGTTTTGTTTAAAAAAAAAAAAAAAAAAGCAGGGGCCGGGGGTGGTGGCTCACGCCTGTAATCCCAGCACTTTGGGAGGCTGAGGCGGGCAGATCACGAGGTCAGGAGATCGAGACCATTCTGGCTAACACAGTGAAACCCCATCTTTACTAAAAATACAAAAAATTAGCCGGGCGTGGTGGCGGGTGCCTGTTGTCCTAGCTACTCGGGAGGCTGAGGCAGGAGAATGGCATGAACCTGGGAGGCAGAGCTTGCAGTACGCCGAGATTGTGCCACTGCACTCCAGCCTGGGTGACAGAGCGAGACTCTGTCTCAAAAAAAAAAAAAAAAGCTGTAAGAAAAAATGTAAATTTTTTTATACAGTGCAGACAATATGAATTTGAATTGCAAATTCATTCTAGGCTCAGTTTTTGGTTATAATTTCTCAGATACTTTTCTTAAGCCCCTGTCATGTTCAGCCCTGAGGTATTCTTCTTTCCAGTTTCCAGTCCTCTGGAAATGGGGTTTATATAAGATGGGGGTAAGCAGAGTAGACAAGTTACTAATATTTTCTCACATGTTTCAATAGAACGCCACCCAAAAAGGAAATATGAAATAAGCATCCAATAAAATATATATCCATAATAATAGTTGATTAATGACATTAATCAATTTCCTGGTATTATACAGTATTAAAATGATTTCATGAGGAGAAAGTGGGGAACAAACATTCTCAATAGAAACTTTCTGGGTTAGCTAAGGTAATGATTTAAAATAATAAAATAAATTCACCTAACAGAGCTCTAAATTTATGAAATTAACATATTTATTATGGGAATAAATACATTAAGTGAAGAATTTTTATATATTTAAGTTTATTTACTTAGATTCTGAATTGGATATTTTAATGAAATTACTTCATCTAAAGATGCCCCTTTCCATCAGAGGGTTTAAAACTATTTTTTTAAATGACAGTAACATAATGTTTTACAAGTAAGCTGTCTGCATCAATCTATTTCTGCTCAAAGCAAGACACACGCCATAAAAAAAATCAAGAATCAACAATGCAAAGGTTTTAAAGTATTTCCATTTTTCAGATCTTAGTCTAAAATACTTATGGGTATTTAGCAGTACAGATGGCTCAAAAGGATAAATATTTGTAGCTTAACATTTTAAATAGAGACTATACCCTTTATAATAAAGTAACTTTATAATAGAATGACTTCTGTGACAACAGACTGTTCTTATGTAACTATTTTAGGGTAAGAAGAAAGTCTGTTTTGATTTAACATTTTAAACTGAAACAGAAAAGACAGTTTTAAATTAACAGTGTTTTAATTTTTAACTTGAATTTTAGGATACTCTTTTGGGGTAACCGTTCAAGAATGAATATAGAAAGCCTAACAATTGGTTTCCTATCACTACTACTGCTCCAATGTACCTTTCAAAATTTGCTGTAGTCTTATGAAAGTCAGCTGTATTTTTCAGGCAAATTTTACCATTTTACATGTTCCCTGGAGGATTAGGAGTCACTTGGCTATGGTGAGGGCAGCCAAAGAGTTCTAATTCTACTTTTGGGTAAAGTGACAGCAAATTCAGAGAAGAGTTCTAAAGTGTGTAACTTGCTCTAACTTGAGTCAGCACAGAATCCTGTGCTGTCATTCAAAATATTTAATGAATTGCTTTTTTTTGTACTATAGCAGACCAACATATTCAGTTAAGGTCACTTCTAGCATACCACATCTAAAAAGTGTGAATATAATACACATTTTTAAAGACTTATTTAAGCACACGGTTGGCTGGTTGGAAACTAAAAGAATTCATAAAGGCTGTAAGCAAAAAAGAATCATAAATCCAGAAAAGGAAAGAGTTCTGGGGCCAGTATTTGCTGGACTCTGGTGGTATCTGCTGATGTGTGGCCTACAGCCTTGGTATTAAAGAGCCCAGTGCTTAAAAGCCAGGCTTTCAGAGTTCAATATGGATGTGAAGTCATATCACATAAAATTCAGATGCAGTCAGTAACACCCAAAAGGATAAACTAAGAAAAACAACCAAAACTCCAAAAAGGGAGTTGAAAGAGATACATGCCTGTCTACCTTGGATTGGGTAGAATATGAAAAGAAAAAAAAAGAAAAAGGGGCTTCCCTGAGAATTAATAACCACAAATCCACATTTGTGCAGGGTTATGGCCTGAATCCACACCACCCCAAAATTGAAAGTGGTTTCACATTGACAGTATCCCATGTGCATGGGAGAATCAAATTTCTCCATGAAGGAATGAACTCCATTCACTCAAAAGCCCGAAAGAGGGGAAAGGGAAGGGGAAAAAGAAAGAGGAAGGGAGAACAGGAAGAGGAAGGGGAAGGGAAAGGGGATACTACCACAAAAAGTATATGTAGAAACGACGAACTACAGAACCAGACCTAAAAATACTGTAAATATTAGAATTATTAGAAAACATTAATATGTTTAATATGCCTAGAAAAGTACAAAATGTAAGAAAACTTACTAGGCAGATTTGAAAATAACCAACCAGGGTTCCCATGAATGAAACATATAATAATTTTAGGACTGGAGAAACAAACTCAGAAGACTGTAGGAGATCAGATACAGATGAAAGGAAAATTCATAAACTGGAAGACAGGTCTCAAGAAGTGATATAGAATTCAGCAAAGAGAGATAAAAAGAAAGAAAATAAGAAACAGAGGTTAAGAGATGTGGAGAATGGTTGAGATAATTCAAAACACTGCAGAAGTTTCAGAAGAGGCTAACAGAAAATGAAGTGCAAATAGAAAATATCTTTGTATGGGTTCCAGAAATTTCTTTATAATTACAAGGCACACAGGCAAGAAAACAGTCAAAATAGGCCAGGCACAGTGGCTCACGTATGTAATCCCTGCACTTTAGGAGGCCGAGGCGGGTGGATAACCTGAGGTCAGGAGTTCAGGTTATCATCAGCCTGTACAACATGATGAAACCCCGTCTGTACTAAAAATACAAAAAATTAGCTGGGTGTGGTGGTGCTCACCTGTAATCCCAGCTACTCAGGAGGCTGAGGCAGGAGAATCACTTGAACCCAGGAGGCGGAAGCTGCAGTGAGCCGAGATTGCACCACTGCACTCCAGCCCGGGCAACAAGAGCAAAACTCCATCTCAAAAAAAAAAAAAGAAAAAAAAAAGAAAGAAAACAGTTAAAATAAAAAATTCAATGAAAATCTAACTCGGTAGTACTTAACTTCTATAGATTATCAAGTTGTAGGTGACCAAAATACAATTTTAACTATGTGAAACACTAAAACAATCTTCACTGATTCTCTATTATGGAAATAAGACTACCAAATATACTCAAATTTAATGATCCAGCAAATGACATGAAAAACTTGCATGAATAATAGGGACTAAGAATTTAAAAAAAAAAGTAACCTTCAGTGTTTATTTACAGTAATAAAATCCACAATATAGTAGATCTTTGTTCCTTTGTCACTCCATCCAACTAACTTTCTTAAGTTGAAAATAATACATTAGTCATTGCCATAAAAAGCCTTTAGCTTCTTCAGGCACCATCCAGTTAGCTGTGTAACCTAGCAAAATATCTAATTTTTTTGACCTTTGGTTCCCTGTCTATAAAATGGGAAGATCATCATTATATATCTTAAGATTGCTATAAGTATTAAACAAGAAATAAAAATAATGTCTATAACATAGTAGGTACCCAGTAAATATTATTTCTCTTTCTCTATGCTTCTATAGTATAGTCTCCCACTTATCATAAACATAAATTTCTTCTAGAGAGTCTGTTGAAGACCAGATCTCCAGAAAGATGCTATTAACAATAAAATGATATTTGAATCATAAAAATAAAATAAAATAAAATTTGGCTATATCAGAAGTTCTCAAACTTTCTCAGTTCAAGGTGCTCTGGGTGTCTCAATAATGTTTTCATGGCACCCAGTAAAAGAAGTATCTAATAGTTCTGTTTATTAAGTAGTAAGGTCCAAACAACTTAAGTTTTATATCCTAACAAATTAGTAGCTGTTAAATAATAGATACAAATTGAAAGTAAAAACATATTAATTTTAAATAATTATTAATAGTAACTACAATTACTTACTAATGGGATGGGTACAACTATTGGGCCCTGTACATATCCTAAACCTTTGAATCATATTGGATACTGTTGCCCTCCTTTCCTCTTCCACAATAATTTTCCTGTAGTACTTGCTTTTTCTCACAGTTAACTGTGCAAAACCCAGCTTCATAAAGATGTGACATCATCAAAGGTACAATCTAACACTGAAACTGCGAACTACCTTGAGATAGTACTTTACATAGTATCTGACAGATGTTGCTGGTTTCCCTCAAAATTTAAAAAAAGCCTATGGTATCCCTAAGAGTTTTCTATGGCAGTCTGGGGTACCCTGGTGCACAGTTTGGGAGGTGTGGGTCTTAATTATGGCTTTTGTAAAGAATAACTACTAAGACTTGTTGGTTTTCATGGATTTTAATAATGCATTTCACTCAATTTCTATACCAGATCTCCAATTACTTACTCCATTTAGAATTCATGTTGAACATTAGTGTCCTTTAAGCTAGACAGCTTGCCTAACACAACACTGAACATAGTAAATAGTGAATTTCAGTATTAAATGTAAATTATCTGTTGAACTGAATTAACAACTTTAGACTTTATAAGTGTGTATGAGTCCTTATCCTTTACTTTATACCTTTAAAAGTAAGCTATTTTCAGCTATAATATAAAATACTCACTTACTGAGTGAATACGGATTATGGTTTTCAGAAATCATCAACTGTCAATTATTAATTTATATGGAGACTACATAAATGTTTGCTATGATTATGATCCTTCATTATAGTTCAGACTTTACTAAGAAGACTGGGGAAATATCCACATAAAAAGTATTTTTACTGAGCACCTAAGTGCCAACAAAGATAGCTACAACAAAGATAAATGGAATGAATTCATAGCTTTCACAGAACTTAAGGAGATAAAATTAAATGAGGGAGAAAATAAGTTAATACAATAACTTGAGGTCACTTTAGACAAGGTTATTGGAGAAGGCCTATCTGAAGAGGTGATCTGATTTTAACATCGATGAGCCAAATAAGTAAAAAACTGGAGAAAAACATTCTAGGTACAGGACAGCAAAAACTGAAAGGCACCAAAATAGTATGGAGCTTGGTTTATTCTTGCAATGAAAAGGCAGCCAGCATAGCTTGTAGGAAGAGAGTGAGGAGAAAAATAAATAAATAATAAAATGGTGATGAGATGAGATTGGAGAGAAGGTCAGGAACCAGGGTCTAGTAGCCTATCCTGAATAAACTGGACTTCATTCTGAATGTTATAGAGAGCCACCAAGGTTTTAAGAAGAAAAATGTCATGGTCTGATTTACGGTTAATAAAAGGTTTCTCTGGCTGCTATATAGAGAATGGATTAAAGGATGACAGGAATGGAAACAGATATTTAGAAATACTGCAAGTTCAAGTTAGAGATGATGTTGGCTTAAACCAGGGTGATGGTAGAATAGATAATATAGTTGGATTTGATGTTATTTTGGAGAAGGAGCTAATGGGATTTGGTAATGGACTAGACTGAAGAGGGATGGTGGCAATGGCGGTGGTGATGAAGGAAAAATACTAAAAAACCAAGAATATTTCTCAGGTTTGGGATTCAGCTACAATATCTTTGGCAATTTTCATCCAAAATACCTCCTGAACTATGTCTCTTCTGTGCATGAGACTTAATAGATTATTTCAGTCTTTACAAAACTTTATCCTTAATTCTGGTATAGTTATTTCAGCCTTAATTATATACAAATTAGAGTGCTTATTTGATAGATATGTGCCTTCCCCACTTAACTACCAAGAGATCAGGAATTATGTTAGTCTTTGATAAATAAAGTTAATTGTTCAAAAATTTTAATATATCAGTAAATAAAGGAATATTTAGAAAGACATAAAGTGGATAATCAGTAGATCTATAGCAACATAATGAAGAGAAACTAGCATAAGAAATAGAAGCTTAAAACTGAGTGAAAATTAGCATTTGTAATCAAAATTCATATATTTTATTGGATTTATATAAATAGATGTTAGTTCTCATCTTACCTGAAAATGGCTCTTAAGCTCAGGGAAGGAATAAATATTATGAATTCTAATAAGAAATGCTAGGTGTCTGTATTAGTCTGTTTTCAGACTGTTATAAAGATATACTTGAGACAGGGTAATTTACAAAAAAAAAAAAAGAGGTTTAATTAACTCACATTTCCGCATGGTTGGGGAAGCCTCAGGAAACTTACAATCATGGTGGAGGGGGAGGCAGGCATGTCTTATGTGGCGACAAGCAAGAGAGACCTAGCACAAGCAGGGAAAACTGCCTTAAACCATCAGATCTCATGAGAACTCACTGATTATTACTGAATAGCATGAGGAAAACTGCCCCCATGATCCAATCATCTCCTTCCCTGGACACATGGAGATTACAGCTCCCTCCCTTGACTCATGGGGATCACAATTCAAGATGTGATATGGGTGGGGACCCAGAGCCGAACTGTATCATTCCACCCCTGGCCTCACCCAAATCTCATCTCTTTTCACATTTCAAAACCAATCATGCCTTCCCAACAGTCCCCCAAAGTCTTAACTCATTTCAGCATTAATTCAAAAGTCTACAGTCCAAAGTGTCATCTGAGACAGGCAAGTCCCTTCTGCCTATAAGCAGGTAAAATAAAAAACAAGGCCAGATGCGGTGGCTCATTCCTGTAACCCCAGCAATTTGGGAGGCCGAGGGGGGTGGATCACGAGGTCAGGAGTTCAAGAGCAGCCTGGCCAATGTGGTGAATCCCCGTCTCTACTAAAAATACAAAAATTAGCCAGGTGTGGTAGTGCGTGCCTGTAGTACCAGCTACATGGGAGGCTGAGGCAGAAGAATCGCTTGAACCGGGGAGGCGGAGGTTGCAGTGAGTCGAGATTGTGCCATTGCACTCCAGCCTGGGCGAAAGAGCAACACTGCATCTCAAAAAGGACCCAAGCTAGTTACTTTTAAGTTACAATGGTGGCACAGGCATTTGGTAACTACACCGATTCTAAATGGGAGAAACTGGCCAAAACAAAGGGGCTACAGGCCCCATGCAAGTTCTAAATCCATTGGGGCAGTCACTCAATTTGAAAGCTTATCTCCTCTGACTCCAAGTCTCATATCCAGGGTACGCTGATGCAATGGGTGGGCTCCCACAGCCTTGGGCAGCTTTGGTGAATGGGCTGGCATTGAGTACCTGTGGCTTTTCTAGGCTCATGGTACTGGTTGTCAGTGTTCTACCATTCTGGGGTCTGGAGGGTGGTGGTCCTCTTCTCACATAGCTCCACTAGGCAGTGCCCCAGTGGGGACTCTGTGTGGGGGCTCCAAAGCCACATTTCCCTTCTGCACTGCCCTTGTACAAGTTCTCTGTGAGGGCTCTGCCCCTAAACCCGACTTCTGCCTGGACATCCAGGTGTTTCCATACATCCTCTGAAATCTAGGTGGAGGTTCCTAAAACTCAATTCTTGACTTCTGTGCACCCTCAGGCCCAACACCACATGGAAGCCACTAAGGCTTGGGGCTTGCACCCTCTGAAGCAATGGACCAAACTGTACCTTGGCCCCTTTTAGCCATGGCTGGAGCTGAAGCAGCTGGAACACAAGGCACCATGTCCCAAGGCTGCACAGAGCAGAGGGGCTCAGGGCCCAGCCCACGAAACCATTTTTTCTTCCTAGGCCACTGGGCCTGTGATGGGAGGGGTGGCCACCAAGATCTCTGACATGCCCTGGTGACATTTTTCCCCACTGTCTTGGCTATTCACATTCCACTCCTCATTACTTATGAAAATTTCTACAATGGGCTTCAATTTCTCCCCATAAAATTGATTTTTCTTTTCTATCACATTGTCAGGCTGCAAATTTTCCAAACTTTTATGCTCTGCTTCCCTTTTAAACATAAGTTCCAATTTCAGATCATCTCCCTCAAGTTCAAAGTTCCACAGATTTCTAGGGCAGGGGCAAAATGCCACTAGTCTCTTTGCTAAAGCAAGGCAGGAGTGACCTTTGCTCCAGTTACCAAGAAGTTCCTCATCTCCATCTGAGATCACCTCAGCCTGGACTTCATTGGCCACCTCATTGTCAGCATTTTAGTAAAAACCATTCAGCAAGTCTCCGGGAAGTTCCAAACTTTCCCACATTTTCCTGTCTTCTTTTGAGCCCTACAAACTATTCCAATCCCTGCCTGTTACCCAGTTCCAAAGTCACAACCACCTTTTTGGGTATCTCTATAGCAGTACCTCACTCACCACTTTACCAGTTTACTGTATTAGTCTGTTCTCACACTGCTATAAAGAACTACCCAAGACTGGGTAATTTATAAAGAAAAGAGGTTTAATTGACTCACATGTCCATGTGGCTGGGGAGGCCTCAAGAAACTTAAAATCATGGCAGAAGGGGAAGCTGGCATGTCTTACATGGCGGTAGGCAAGAGAGAGCCAGCAAGAGCAGGCAAAACTGCCTTATCAAACCATCAGATCTCGTGAGAACTCACTATCACGAGAACAGCATGGGAAACCACCCACATTATCCAATCACCTCCATCCCTTGACACATGAAGATTACAGGTCCTTCCCTTGACACATGGGGATTACAATTTGAGGTAAGATTTAGGTAGGGGCACAGAGCCAAACCATATCAGTGTCTGACACAGAAAACATGTATTCCACATATATATTTACTGAACATTTGATACTTAAAATATGTAGTATGTTCAAAATTAAACCATTAAATATTCCTCTCAAGGAGCTTTCAATTAGCTGATAAGTATTATGATTTGTATATCTGAATCAGTACTATTTAGTACAACTTAGCTAAAATACATAATTCCACAGATCAAGATGCCTTGAACATAGTGTTTAAAAAACGATGTATAACTATTTTAATATTACTTTTCTTCATTTAAGCTTTATGTTTTACAAATAAGCACTGGCATATTAACTTTTTTGTCTATCCACATATCACCCTACCCCAACATTTTAGTAAAAAAAATATGAGAACTTTTATTTCTGACCAAGAAGGAATAAAGATACTGGATTTTCCCTATTTTCTAAAACACCTAAAAAAGTCAGAAGATATATATATCAACAGCTTGGTATTCAAACGATTAAACTCAAGAGTAAAGATAGTGATTCCAGAGAGACAGGAAACAAATAGGTGAGCCTGATTTTCAAAGGCTTGAGTGAGTTTCCTGGAGGCTGACACAAAAGGAAGAACCCACATGGAGCCTAGCAGACTCTAAGGACACTGAGTCCACGGAAACCACGTTTAAGCACAACCCTGAATCCTATGATGAATTCCTAGTAACTTCTTGTACCAAAATACCTTAGCTCCTTGCACAGCCTCCCTATGCATTGCAGCAAGCTAAATGAATCTAACTTTGACTACCACAATACAGTATAGTTACCATATTATATAAAGTTGTTGTTGTTTCCATTAATTTAACCAAGAGTAGACAAAGCATATGGCTATCCTGATTATCACTGCCTGGTAGGCATTGATAAATGAAAGTCCTGGAAGAATATTAAATGAGTTTTCACTGCTTTATACAATCATAGTGGGAGATCAGATCAGAACTAGTGTAACTGAAAAAATTTTCTACCAGTATCCATGGTTCCACACAAAAAATGGGAATTACTACTCTTCTTTCTGACAACCCATTGACTATCAGTGCCCACAAAAGTCATAACCTTTATTTTCAACGTATTCCACCTTCACTGTTGCTACTGTTGCTAAATTAATCTATTTTAAATTAAATGCAAATTGAATCATATTAAACCACATTCAGATTTTCATATCAAGTTAATATATATACAAAAAATAATGATCTCTGATGTTATGTTTGATGGATTTTGACAATTTTATGTAATTGTGAAACTGCCACCCAAGCAACATATAGACTATTTCCATCATCCAAGAAAGATCTCAAATTTCCCTTTCTAGTAAATTCCCTCTACCTCAGGCAACTACTCGTAGATCGCTATAACCAAAATTTTGATTATATAATCTTTGAATTATATGACTTATCCAGCTTGTTTTGCTTTTTAGGGTGAAACTGCAACTTTCTACACACAAACTAGATCTTCGTTCATGATTTTTGGACAGACAGAGGGTGAACATCCCTTATCTGAAATACTTTGGACTAGAAGTTTTTCCAAATTTCAACTTTTTTTGGATTTTGGAATATATGCATACATATATAATGAGATATCCTGGGGATATGTATTAGTCCATTTTCACGCTGCTGATAAAGACATACCCGAGACAGGGCAATTTACAAAATAAAGAGGTTTAATGGACTTACAGTTTGATGTGGCTGGGGAGGCCTCACAATCATGGTGGAAGGCAAGGAGGAGCAAGCCATGTTTTATATGTGGATGGGAGCAGGCCAAGAGAGAGCCTGTGCAGGGAAACTCCTGTTTTTAAAACCATCAGATCAGCTGAGACTTATTCACTATCACAAGAACAGCATTGGAAAGACTCAACCCCATTATTCAATTACCTCCCACCAGGTTCCTCCCACAATATGTGGGAATTGAGGGAGTTAAAATTCAAGATGAGATCTGGGTGGGGACACAGCCAAACCATATCATTCCACCCCGACCCCTCCTAAATCTCATGTCCTCACATTTCAAAACTAATCATGCCTTCCCAACAGTCACCCAAAGTCTTAACTCACTTCAGCATTAACTCAAAAGTTCACAGCCCAAAGTCTCATCTGAGATAAGGCAAGTCCCTTTTACCTATGAGCCAGTAAAATCAAAAGCAATTTAGTTACTTCCTAGATACAATGAGGGTACAGGTAAATACAGCCCTTACAAATGGGAGAAATTGGCCAAAACAAAGGGGCTAAAGCCCCCACGCAAGTCTGAAAGCCAGCAAGGCAGTCAAATCTTACGTCAAATCAAATGATCTCCTTTGACTCCAGGTCTCACATTCAGGTAATGCTGATGCAAAAGGTGGGTTCCTATGGTCTTGGGTAGCTCCGACCCTGTGGCTTTGCAGGGTACAGCCTCCCTCCTGGCTGCTGCCATGGGCTGGCATTGAGTGTGCACTGCTTTTCCAGGTGCACAGTATAAGCTATCAGTGGATCTACTATTCTGAAGTCTGGAGGACAATGATCCTCTTCTCACAGCTCCACTAGGCCGTGCCCCAGTAGGGACTCTGTGTGGGGGCTCCAACCCCTCATTTCTCTTCTGCACTGCCCTAGCAGAGATTCTCCATGAGAGCCCCACCCCTGCAGCAAACTTCTGCTTGGACATCCAGGCATTTCCATCCATCCTCTGAAATCTAGGCAGAGGTTCCCAAACCCCAATTCTTGACTTCTGTGCACTCGCAGGCTCAACATCATGTAGAAGCTGCCAAGGCTTGGGGCTTGCACCCTCTGAAGCCACATCCCAAGCTTTACCTTGGCCCCTGTTAGCCATGGCTAAAGTGGTTGGAACACAGGGCACCAAGTCCCTAGACTGCACACAATACAGGGACCATGGGCCTAGCCCGTGAAACCATTTTTCCTCCTATGCCTCTGGGCCTGTGATGAAAGGGGCTGCCTCGAAGACCTCCTACATGCCCTGGTGACATTTTCCCCATTGTATTGGGGATTAACATTTGGCTCCTTATTACTTATGCATGTATCTGCAGCCAGCTTGAATTTCTCCTCAGAAAATGGGATTTTCTTTTCTATCGCATTGTCAGGCTATAAATTTTCCAAACTTTTATGTTCTGTTTCCCTTTTAAAACTGAATGCCTTTAACAGCACCCAAGTCACCTCTTGAATGCTTTACTGTTTAGAAATCAATTGTGCCAGATACCCTAATCATCTTTCTCAAGTTCAAAGTTCCACAAATCTCTAGGGCAGGGGCAAGTCTCTTTGCTAAAACATAACAAGTGTCACCTTTTCTCCAGTTCCCAACAAGTACTTCATCTCCATCTGAGACCAACTCAGTCTGGATTTCATTGTCCATATCATTATCAGTATTTTGGTGAAAGCCACTCAACGAGTCTCTAGGGACTTCCAAACTTTCCCACATTTTCCTGTCTTCTTCTGAGCCCTCCAAACTGTTCCAACCTCTGCCTGTTACCCAGTTCCAAAGTCACTTCCACATTTTTGGGTATCTTTTCAGCAGCACCCCACACTACTGGTACCAATTTACTGCATTAGTCCATTTTCATGCTGTTGATAAAGACATACCTGAGACTGGGCAATTTACAAAAGAAAGAGATTTAATGGACTTAAGAGTTCCACGTGGCTGGGGAGGCCTCACAATCATGGTAGAAGGCATGGAGGAGCAAGTCACGTCTTACTAAGATGGCAGCAGGCCAAGAGTGAGCTTGTGCAGGGAAATTCCCGTTTTAAAAACCATCAGATCTTGTGAGACTTATCTACTTTCACTAGAACAGCATGGGAGAGACCAGCCACCATGATTCAATTATGTCTCACCAGGTTCCTCCTATGACATGTGGGAATTGTGGGAGTTACAATTCAAGATGAGATTTGAGGGGGGACACAGCCAAATCATATAAGACTAAAGTCTAAACACAAAATTCATTTATGTTTCATATATACCTTATATTCGTAGCATAAAGATGATTTTTATACAATATTTTAAAATAATTTTGTGCTTGAAATAAAGTTTTGATTGCAATTCACTGCATGAGGTCAGGTGTGCAATTTTTCACCTGTGGCATCATGGCAGCACTCAAAAATTTCAGATTTTAGAGAATTTCAGATTTCAGATTTTCAGATGAGGGAGGGTCAATCTGTGTATCTTTAAATTGTTTGTAATACTTGTGTGCAAATACAGACTTTGTTATTCTGATAACTGCTTTTATGAAATATTTGAATACATATGAGGCAATATGCTATATAAATGCAAAATAATAATAGTCTAAAATCATCATATCATCAATCAGTACTCTGACTATTCATTTTCCAGCTATTAATAGTAAAGGGATCTTAAACATCCCTAGAAGAAGACTGCTCTAGCAAATGCAATTAAATACAGAAAAATATTAAAAGGATTCATAAATGAGTTGATTTGCTTCTCAAAATAGTAAAATATACTAGACTTTTATCAGAACACATCTTTATAATGCCACCATATTTTAATTTTAATTTGTTTTAAATTTAATTAATTTCTGCCTTTTTTAAATTTCAAAATGCTTCTACTTTTGCTATTATGCTACTGCTGACAGCATCCTGAGAGGTGGAAGTGTAAATTATTCCACATTTTTCTGAAATAAAGCTAAAAGGAAAGTACAGTAGTACATGTTTATAAATAGTGTATTTTTATTAATTTGAACGGGAGTAGATAAGGCATATGATTTGCCTTGCAAAAAAGTGTTTACTTTTTGGCACTATTTGTTAATTTATGCATTCTAATTTTAAAATGTGTTAGCAGTAGCTGTTACTTATATTTCTTTCAGTCAACAATTAGTCTTTGTTTCATCTTTTTGGATCTCAGAACCCAGAAGAAACTGATTTAGAGATTATGAAAATAACAATTACTATGCTAAGGACCAGATTTATCATCATGGTACAATACAAACATCAAAGTATAGTAACAATTTGGATAGTCAGTAAGTTATCAGTTTTTTACTGATTTTTTCAATACCAGGCATGCATACATGACTATCTTGTGACTCTGTGTTAAACATTCAAAACAGAAATATTTTCTTGTTAAAAAAGCTGAAGCATTAGTGGAATTTTAATTGAATACACAAAAACTGGATTCAGTATTCTGTATTTTCATAGGAAGGGGGCAACTAAAACTATCTGTCACCAGCTTGACCAACATGGTAAAACCCTGTCTCTATGAAAAATACAAAAATTAGCCAGGCGTGGTGGCGTGCACCTGTAATCCCAGCTACTCAGGAGGCTGAGGCAGGAGAATTGCTTGAACCCAGGAGGCGGAGGTTTCAGTGAGCCGAGATTGTGCCACTGCACTCCAGACTGGGCAACAGAGCAAGACACTGTCAAAAAACAAACAAAACAAACAAACAAACAAAAACACTATCTGTCCTGTCCTCACTTGAAAAACATTATTTACAAGGCTCTTACTGCTACATAAAACATACTGTTTTCCAGTGAGGGCAACAAATATGAAGGGAAAAAAAGATTAGAACTAAATAAAGACCTATCTATATCAAGACTGAAGAAAGCAATTACATACACCTTAAACTTGACAGGTGTCCAACATTTCAGCTTGGCAGATGTGTTAATCAGGTAGGGCTGCTGTAATAAAATACATACACTGGGTGGATTACATAACAAAAGTCCAATATCAGGGTGCCAGCATGGCCAGGTTTTGATGAGGGCTTTCTTCCTGGCTCAAAGACAGCCATCTTCTTGCAGTGTTGTCATGAGGAAGAGAAGGAGGTGAGTCTGTATTCTTGTTATAAGGCCACCGTCCTATTGCATTAAGACTGTGGCCCTATAAGAAGAGCCACACTTTTATGATCTCATGTAACCTTAATTACCTCCTAAAGACCAGACACAGTCACACTGGCAATCAGTGCATCAACATATAAATTTGGAGGAGACACAATTCAGTTCAAAATTCCAATATCAGGTACCCTGATATTATTTTAGTTCTGGGCCCAGCTTTTTCTCTACGTTCAGGGTATTCAAATACAATTTTTAATATGATAGGGTGAGAATTAAATGCTCTCTTCCTTAAACTTTAGCAACTTTTAACTAATGAAGAGTTCAGTACATGCTATCACAAAATATTCAGTTGGTATACTGAATATTCTAAGCTGAAGGCATGTGAGAAATCACGTGTAGGAAGGACTTAATGGCATTCCTCTGAAGCAGATTTTAAGACTCTCATGTAAGAGGTACCCTACCTATACCTGAAGGAAAGGCACATCCCTTGAATCCTTGATATTCCTCTCTCCAAGCCCCTACCTCCTGCATCCCTCTATCTACCCCTGTTAGACATTTTCCCTTCCCACTCCAGCCCCTCAGTAACTTGAACTTTAGGAATCTCAGTTCTCAAGGGCTTCAGGGGGTCTGCTGAAAAATAAAAAAGAAAGGCTAATTGGAAATAGATTGGGTATTGTATTTTCTCAGACAGAGTTTGGAGAAAACTGAACAGCTGCTAGATGTCTCCTTAGTCACTTGTCTGAAGTTTTGTCCACAGCTGCCATTATACTACTTATGATTGGAAGATCTGAATTTGTTGTGGAAAAAGAAAAATAAAAAAAATTACCTATCAGAAGGGCAATTAAAATCTTAAAAAAAAACCCTCCCCAAATATTGGTGAAAAGCACTGGTCCTCATATTGAGTAGCTAACCTCGATTTGTCCCATATGCCAGAATCACAAATTGAATAAAAGTATAAGCTGGCGAAAAGACAAGATTTTATATAAACCAGTTGAGTTCACATTACTATGTTTTATTGACTCATTGCAGAAATTTTCAAATGAAACCTGTAAGATCTTTATTTGAATCTGTTTGTGTGTGTGTGTGTGTGTGTGTGTGTGTGTGTGTATGTATGCATGACATAGATTTGTGATATTTTTCTATCTCCAGATAGAAAATTATACAAA
Source organism: Homo sapiens (assembly GCF_000001405.40). NCBI lineage: Eukaryota > Metazoa > Chordata > Mammalia > Primates > Hominidae > Homo > Homo sapiens. The sequence goes on along the minus strand of NC_000014.9, from coordinate 66,723,927 downwards.
AGGGCTCCATTTAATTGATGTAAAGAAAAATCAGTGCTTGTATAAACTAGGTATTCCTAAAACTCTCAAAAATATGAAAACTAACCTAATTATTTTAGGTTCATGTGATCTGGGATAATCTTTGGTAAATAAAACTGGTTTAAAGATTGTTGGTAAAATAAAAACAGGAATGTTGTCAGAGTTGTCAGCATTAAACATAATACGACATATAATTGTTTTCCACTTAGGTTTACTCATCAAACAAACTTATGCTATCTCTACCAGATATTTATGAGAATAAAACTATAAATGCAACCTAAGAATCAAATGTACAATAAAAATGAATTGATGTATACACTTTAAAAAGGCAAAAACAAGGTTTTTGTTTATTAGGATTTTTGCTTCTGTGATATTTTAGATACTTGTCTGATTTGTCAACAACAAAATTTAAGAGAATATCTACCTTTGAGCAGTGTCTCATGAAATTTTCATGAGCAATCCAAGCATAATTATTAAAAGTGAATTAAATAGATGAAAGCACGTTAACTTATAAACTTTCATAAATAATATTTATAAAAGGTTATAACCAAAAGGTTAACCTTTTATAACCAAAAGGTTATAACCTTTTATAAATATAATTTATAAAAGTTTATATTTATAAAGTTATAAACTTTTATAAATTATATTCATAAAAGGTTATAAACTTTTTATAACTCGTCTTTACAAGTAGATGAGTCTTTACAACAGAGAACTCTTTACAAAAAATTAAAAAATTAGTTGGTTGTGGAGGTATGCTTAAGCCCAGCAGTGCAAAGTTACAGTGATCTACGATTGTGCCACTGCAATCAAGCCTGGGCGACAGAGTGAGACCCTGTCACACACACAAAAAAATCTAATCAGGAAAAAACCCTATATGCAAAGTATTCAAGGGAAGTAGAATGTGTTTTTTGATGAGGAAAAGAATGAAGGATGTGGGTTTGTTAAGGGAAAAAGAGTGTCACTTTGTCCTAAAGTAAGAATGACTGGTTGTGCCAAAGAGAAAGAGAAAAAAGAACAGGACAAAAACTGAATATATTTTTTAAAACTACAGGTTTGTGGAAAAGTAATCTTGGAAACAGGATCTTATTTTGTGTGGTAGAGTTGGCTAAGATTGGACAGATTTAGTCAAAAGTATTTTGTTGTTGTTGTTTTTTAATAAGCTTTAGTGGCCAGGCATGGTGGCTCACTCCTGTAATCCCAGCAATTTGAGCATTAGAGGTGGGGGGATCACTTGAAGCCAGGAGTTCAAGCCAGGCTGGGCAACACAGTGAGACCCCATCTCCACAAAAATTAGGCAAATTAGCTGTGCATGGCGGCATATCCTTGTAGTCCTAGCTACTCAAAAGGATGAGGTGGGAGGATCACTTGAGCCCAGGAGTTTGAGGCTGCAGTGAGCTATGATAGCTACACTGCACTCCAGCCTGGACAACAGAGAGTGAGACCTTGTCTCTTAAAAACAAAAAACAAACAAACAAAGCCTTAGTATTAATAGAACACATGCCATATTAGAATTCTGTGTTCTCTGTTAAAATGACATACTTTTCTTGGATTACCTGTCTGCTCTTGATAACGATATCGTGAAAGGGTTTTCCCCCAGTTTTTAAGTAATCTGCCTAGAAAATCAAGGTTTTGTATGTTAGAACAATTTCATGTTACCTTTATCAGTTATTTTGAACAATTTCATGTTACCTTTATCAGTTATTTTGATTACTTAAAAAAGCGGAATCCTTTCAATGTTAAAAGTACTCAGTTTTATTTACAACTATGTAACTTCTATATGTGCTTATAAAATATTTTATTACTTTGTTTATAAGTAATAAAGTAATAAACAATACTTATATATAAGTATTGTTTTATAATGATGTGTGATTCTAGTGTTTAAAACCTTCTGACATTTTTGACAAACTTTCCCAAATTAAATCAAATTCTTTTTTTTCCTTTTTTTTTTTTTTTTTTTTGAGACAGAGTTTCGCTCTTACTGCCCAGGCTGGAGTACAATGGCATAATCTCAGCTCACTGCAAGCTCCGCCTCCCAGGTTCAAGCAATTCTCCTGCCTCAGCCTCCCGAGTAGCTGGGATTACAGGCGGGCACTAACATGCCCAGCTAATTTTTGTATTTTTGATAGAAACGAGGTTTCATCATGTTGGCCAGACTGGTCTCAAACTCCTGACCTCAGGTGATTCGCCTGCCTCGGCCTTCCAAAGTGTTGAGATTACAGGCATGAGGCACTGTGCCCGGCCCAAATCAAATTCTACATAACGTATCTTTGACTTTAAATTAACATTGAGAGTTCCCAGAGGGTTCCTGGAAAATATCAAAGGATTTGTCTCTTGCCTTGTAAAAGAGAGATGTTATGTTAATTAGTTTGATTTGTTAAATTACAGAGGAAGTACTGTCAAATAAGAACTGATGCTATATCTTCTTTAGGTTATATGTATATAGATATATGTTATTAATATAAGTGTTTCAGGAGTTATATAAAGTTGATAGAAATTTGTCAATATGTTATTCATGATAGGTTTGGCATAATGTTACCAGTCACAATTCCAATTATTATGTTAAAATATCATTAGCCACAGCAATAAATAAATTTCCTTAGCAAATAAACTCTCATCAGATCTTTATGGTGATTTTAAGCCTTTTGTCATTCTCAATTTATTGTTTTACTTTGATTCTTCTCTGAAAGCATTTACAATCTGATATAGGCCAAAGTGTCTAATGGAAAAGGCTCTGAAAAGTGCTACAGAATAAAGGTTTCTGATAACTTTAAGATCATACCATTGGACTGGGTAAGAATTTCCACAACTCTAATAAAGCAACTGATGAGCTCATAAAATTGCCAAGCCAAGATACAGCAGAATAAGACTTAATTAGATTTGACTAAATAAACTGAAAAGGGTGATTATAATTATTTAATAACCTTTTCTTCAAAATTTTGCTGGCTCTTTTGTGCTTTGGCTTCCAGATTTAAGAAAAGCATTTTCTCTTAGGATATTTATAGTTTACCGCAATGTGGTAGGTTATGTTTTTCTGTTTTTTACAAAGAGACAGCATCTCTCTCCATCAATAAGGCAAGAGTGCAGCGGTGTGATCATAGCTCACTGCAGCCTTGAACTCTTAGGCTCAAGCTATCCACTTGCGTTGGACTCCAAAAATGCTGAGATTACAGGCATAAGCCACCATGCCTGGCCTAGATTATATTTTTATAAATAAAATTGAAATAATTACTTTTTCTCTCTACTTGATTCCTCCAGAATCTGGAAACCATTAGTGAGTATGATGTGCAAAATTAGATATGATGGTCAGCTTTAAGAAACTAAGGTTGACTTTAACAAATGAATGCTAATAAGGCCCCCTGGAAAAACTGGTCTGATATTTGGCTTAGACTCTTGGCTTAGAGTCCAGGAAGTGACTTCTTTATTCAAGAAGTATGTTCAAGTGATTCTCATGCCTTAGCCTCCCAAGTAGCTGAAATTTTAGATGTGCACAACCACCCCCAGCAAATTTTTGTATTTTCAGTAGAGACGGGGTTTCGCCGTGTTGGCCAGGCTGGTCTCGAACTCTTGGTCTCATGTGATCTGCCCATCTCAGCTTCTCATTTTGCTGGGATTACAGGAGTGAGCTGCCACACTTGGCCAAAACCAACTACTTTAAATTTGAACATATTCCTTTACTCTTTATTTTTAGACAATCTTTAGACAATTGAAAATGTACTGTACAAATAAATGAGATTTATGCTTTTTATCTACCTTTTATTTCCCTGATACTACAGTATTCATAATTATAAAATTTAATGGTTATATAATGATCCATTGAGCAGATAAACAATAATTTAGATTCTATGTCACTTTTAATATCAAAATCTTGGAAATAATGTATAAATTAAAATAACCTTCTAGATTACTGCCTTACAAAAAACAATAAAAAATAAGATAATTGAATCAAATTATATAACATTTTAATAACTCTTTAGAAAATGGCAAATTTGTTTCCAAAGTTTTATGATTTACATGGTCACTAGTAGTACCTGAATGTATCAGTTATTACCACCATAGTGCAACTATTACACTTTTTGAAACCCATAGAAAATTTCTGAAAATATGTTATTTATCAGGTTATCTATGATGTTTCCTAAAAACATCTATTTCTGGGTCTCATCCTTATGTTAATGAATCAGAATCTCTTCACCATGACATGGGAATATACGTTTTTCACAAATTTGTGCAGCAGGGAGATTGGCTGTCATGGTGGATGGGAGGCAGGACTACATGGCAGCTCTGACTGGGATGAACAGAGCAGCGTGTGGAGGTTCACACGGTGAATTTTGGCTACAGAACGACTGCAGGAATAAATCAGGAAACCCGAGAGGACCCACAGACCCTCTGAAGAAAGAGGACCGCTCCTGCAGGACCCAGGAGACACCTGAGATAATGTGACTGCCCAAACTGAGAAAGTGGGAAAGGGAGATTCTCAGCCCCCGAACACACATCCTCACTGGGGAAACTTAATGTCTAGTTTATGGGAAAAGATTCTGACCTTACCTGGAGCTGAGTCAATTTAGACAGCCAAGCGAAATACACGGATAGAGGCATCAGAGGAAAAAGTCCTGTGAGCTTTCTGGGTCCACAAGCAAGCCATTCCTGTCTGGCATTACAGGGATCTTTCTGGAGGGCGGCCAGAGGCACTGGGAAAATGCCACAGGGAGAAGGAAATCTCCAGCTGATCTTGGTAACAACTTGAACAGGAAAATTAAAGCCCTACTTTCTTTCACAGATGGGAAGCAGGTAGCCTGGTGCAAGTTCTCAGCCCTGCTTGCCCACTGCCTGGAAACAGACTTGGTGCTGCTAGCAGGGGCATGGTGGGAGAGACCACCCCTGTGGATTGCGTGGGAGCTGGGTGAGGCCTGTGACTGCCGGCTTTCCCCAAATTCCCTGACAACCTGAAGGACGTGTGAGAGGCAGCCATAATCCTCCTAGGTACACAACTCCATTGACCTGGGAACCTCACCCCCATCCCCCACAGCAGCTGCAGCAAGACCTGCCCAAGGAGAGTCTGAGCTCAGACATCCTGGGCCCTGCCCCCACCTGATGGTCCTTCTGAGAGGTGAAGCCAGCTGGACTTCCTGGGTCGAGTGGGGACTTGGAGAACTTTTCTGTCTAGCTAGAGGATTGTAAGTGCACCAATCAGCACTCTGTGTCTAGCTAAAGGATTGTAAACGCACCAATCAGCACACTGTAAAAACACACCAATCAGCACTCTGTGTCTAGCTAAAGGATTGTAAACGCACCAATCAGCACTCTGTAAAATGGACCAATCAGCAGGACATGGGCAGGGCCAACTAAGGGAATAAAAGCTGGCCACCTGAGCCAGCAGCAGCAACCCACTGGGGTCCCCTTCCACGCTGTGGAAGCTTTGTTCTTTTGCTCTTCACAGTAAATCTTGCTGCTGCTCACTGTTTGGGTCCGCACTACCTTTATGAGCTGTAACACTCATTACGAGGGTCTGTGGCTTATTCCTGAAGTCAGCGAGACCACGAACCCATCGGGAGGAACAAACAACTCCGGACGTGCCACCTTTAAGAACTGTAACACTCACTACAAAGGTCTGCGGCTTCATTCCTGAAGTCAGCGAGACCCACCAGAAGGAAGAAACTCCAGACACATCTGAACATCTGAAGGAACAAACTCCAGACACACCATCTTTAAGAACTGTAACACTCACTGCGAGGGTCCACAGCTTCATTCTTGAAGTCAGTGAGACCAAGAACCCACTGGAAGGAACCAATTCCGGACACACTTCCCTACCCACCCTGGTAGCTGAACACAAAGGGTGTACACTCGGGCATTCTAGGGCCCCACCCACCTCTGGTTCCTCCCCATACTACCACAGCTGATACTCTCTGGAAAGCACCACCTCCTGGCAGGGGGCCAACCAGCACAAAAATAGAGCATTAAACCACCAAAGCTAAGACCCCTCACAGAGTTCATTTTACCCCCTTGTCATCTCCACTGGAACAGCTGCTGGTATCCACGGCTGAGAGACCCATAGACGGTTCACATCACAGGACTCTGTGCAGACAACCCCTAGTACAAGCCTGGAGCCGGGTAGGCGCGGTAGATGGCTAGACCAAGAAGAGAGATAACCATCACTGCAGCTTGGCTCTCAGGAAGCCACAGCCATTGGAAAAGGGGAAGAGTACTATATCAAGGGAAACCCCTGTGGGCCAAAGAATCTGAATAACAGACTTCAGCCCTAGATCTTCCCTCTGTCAGAGCCTACCCAAATGAGAAGGAACCAGAAAACCAACTCTGGTACTATGACAAAACAAGCTTATTTAACACCCCCCAAAAATCACACTAGCTCACCATCAATTGATACAAACCAAGAAAAAATCCCTGATTTACCTGAAAAAGAATTCTGAAGATTATTGATTAGTTATTAAGCTAATCAGGGAAGCACCAGAGAAAGGCGAAGCCCAATGCAAGGAAATAAAAAAAAATGATATAAGAAGTGAAGAAGAAATATTCAATGAAATAGACAGCATAAATAAAAAAACAATCAAAACTTCAGGAAACATACGACACACTTATAGAAATGCAAAATGCTCCGGAAAGTCTCAGCAATAGAATGGAACAAGTAGAAGAAAGAAATTCAGGGCTCGAAGACAAGGTCTTCAAATGAACTCAATCCTACAAAGACAAAGAAAAAATAATAAGACAATATGAACAAAGCCTCAGAGAAGTCTGGGATTATGCTCAACGACCAAACCTAAGAATAATCGGTGTTCCTGAGGAAGAAGAGAATTCTAAAAGCTTGGAAAACATATTTTGGGGAATAATCAAGGAAAACTTCCCCAGTCTTGCTAGAGACCTAGGCACAAAGAACACCTGGAAAATTTATCACAAAAAGATCATCGCCTAGGCATATTGTCACCAGGTTAGCCAAAGTTAAGACGAAGGAAAGAATCTTAAGAGCTGTGAGACAAAAGCACCAGGTAACCTATAAAGGGAAACTTAGATTAACCACAGATTTCTCAGCAGAAACCCTACAAGCTAGAAGGGATTGGGGTCCTATCTTCAGCCTCCTCAAACAAAACAATTCTCAGCCAAGAAGTTTGTATCCACTGAAACTAAGCAACATACATGAAGATATAATCTTTTTCAGACAAACAACTGCCGAGAAAATTCGTCACTACCAAGCCACCACTACAAGAACTGCTAAAAGAAGTTCTAAATCTTGAAACAATTCCTGGAAAAATATCAAAACAGAACTTATTTAAAGCATAAATCTCACATGACCTATAAAAAATACAATTTAAAAAGCAAACAAAACAAAACAAAACAAAAAACCAAGGTACACAGGCAACAAATAGCATGATGAATCAAATGGTACCTCACATCTCACTACTAACACTGAATGTAAATAGCTTAAATGCTCCATCTGAAAGACAGAAAGAACTGCAGAATGGATAAGAATTCACCAACCATCTGCTGCCTTCCAGAGACTCATCTAACACTTAAGGACTCACATGAAGTAAAAGGTTGGAAAAGGGCATTTCATGCAAATGCACACCAAAAGCCAGCAGGAGTAGCTATTCTTGTATCAGACAAAACAAACTTCAAAGCAACAGCAATTAAAAAAGACAAAGAGGGACATTATATAATGGTAAAAGGCCTTGTCCAACAGGAAAACATCACAGTCCTAAACATATATGCACCTAACACTGGAGGTCCCAAATTTATAAAACAATTACTAATAGACCTAAGAAATGAAATACACAGCAACACAATAATAGTGGGGAACTTTAATACTCCACTGACAGCACTAGACAGGTCATCAAGACAGAAAGTCAACAAAGAAACAATCAATTTAAACTATACCTTGGAACAAACAGACTTAACAGATATATCTATATATATATAGATATATAGAACATTCCATTCTACAACTGCAGAATACACATTCTATTCAACAGCACATGGAACTTTCTCCAAGATAGACCATATGATATGCCACAAAACAACAAGCCTCAATACATTTAAGAAAACTGAAATTATATCAAGCACTCTCTCAGACCACAGCAGAATAAAACTGGAAATCAACTCCAAAAGAAACATTCAAAACCATGCAAATCCATGGAAATTAAATAACCTGCTCCTGAATGATCACTGGGTCAAAAATATAATCAAGATGGAAATTTAAAAATTATTTGAACTGAACTACAATAGTGACACAACCTATCAAAACCTCTGGAATACAGCAAAGGCAGTGCTAACAGGAAAGTTCATAGCCCTAAACACCTACATCAAAAAGACTGAATGAGCACAAACTGACAATCTCATGTCACACCTCAAGGAACTAGACAAACAAAGAGAAACCAAACCTAAAACCAGCAGAAGAAAGGAAATAACCACGATCAGAGCAGAACTAAATGAAATTGAAACAAACAAAAAAATACAAAAGATAAATGAAACAAAAAGCTGATTCTTTGAAAAGATAAATAAAATTGATAGACCATTAGCAAGATTAACCAAGAAAAGGAGACAAAAAATCCAAATAAGCTTAATAAGAAATGAAACGGGAGATACTACAACTGACACCACAGAAATATAAAAGATCATTCAAGGCTACTACGGACACCTTAATGTGCATAAACTAGAACACCTAGAAGAGATGGATAATTCCCTGGAAAGATACAACCCTCCTACCTTAAATCAGGAAAAAATACATACCCTGAACAGACCAATAACAAGCAGCAAGACTGAAACAGTAATTTAAAAATTAACAACAGAAAAAAGTCCAGGACCAGACAGATTCACAGCTGAATTCTACCAGACATTCAAAGAAGAATTTATACCTATCCTATTGATACTATTCCACAAGATAGAGAAACCGGGAACCAACCCTAATTCATTCTATGAAGCCAACATCACCCTAATACCAAAACCAGGAAAGGACATAACCATAAAAGAAAACTACAGACCAATATCCCTGAAGAACATCGATGCTAAAATCCCTAACGAAATACTAGCTAACCAAATCCAACAACATTATCAAAAACATAATCCACCATGATCAAGTGGGTTTCATACCAGGGATGCAGGGATGGTTTAACATACACAAGTCAATAAATGTGATACCTCACATAAAAAGAATTAAAAACAAAAATCACATTATCATCTCAATAGATGCAAAAAAAGCATTTGACAAAATCCAGCAACTTTTATGATTAAAACTCTCAGCAAAATGGGCATACAAGGGACACACCTCAATGTAATAAAAGCCATCTATGACAAACCCACAGCCGACATAACACTGAATGGGGAAAAGTTGAAAGCATTCCCTCTAAGAACTGGAACAAGACAAGGATACCCACTCTCACCACGAAGTCCTAGCCACATTAATCAGACAAGAGAAAGTAAAAAACGGAATCCAAATAGTTGAAGAGGAAGTCAAAATGTCACTGTTTGCTGATGATATGATCGTTTACCTCAAAAACCCTAAAGACTCCTCCAGAAAGCTCCTAGAACTGATAAAAGAATTCAGCAAAGTATCTGGATACAAAATTAATGTACACAAATCAGTAGCTCTTCTACACACAAACAGCAACCAAACAGAGAATCAAATAAAAAACTCAACTCCTTTTAAAATAGCTGCAAAAAAAATAAAATAAAATACTTAGGAATCCACCTAACCAAGGAGGTGAAAGACCTCTACAAGGAAAACTACAAAACACTGCTGAACAAAATCACAGATGACACAATCCAGCATCCCTTTATGATTAAATACATCCCACACTCGTGGATGGGTAGAATCAATATTGTGAAAATGACCATACTGGGCCTGGCATGGTGGTTCACACCTGTAATCCCAGCACTTTGGGAGGCCAAGGCGGGCAGATCACTTGAGGTGAGGATTGTGAAACCAGCCTGGCCAACATGGTGAAACCCTGTCTCTACTAAAAATACAAAAATTAGCCAGGTGTGGTGGCACATGCCTGTAGTACCAGCTACTTGGGAGGAGGAGACAGGAGAATCACTTGAACCTGGGAGGTGGAGGTTGCAGTGAGCCAAGATCACGTCACTGCACTCCAGTCTGGGCAACAGAGAGAGACTCCGTCTCAAAAACAAAATAAACAAACAAACAAACAAATAAAAAAAAAACAACAAAGAAAATGACATAGTGCCAAAAGCAATCTACAAATTCAACCCAATCCCCATTCAAAATACCACCATCATTCTTCACCAAATTAGAAAAAAAAAATTCTAACATTCATATGAAACCAAAAAAGAGCCCGCATAGCCAAAGCAAGACTAAGCAAAAAGAACAAACCTGGAGGCATCACACTACCTGATTTGAAACTATACTATAAGGCCACAATCACCAAAACAGCATGGTACTGGTATAAAAATAGGCACACGGGCCAATGCAACAGAATAGAGAAACCAGGAATAAACCCAAATACTTAGCCAACTGATCTTCAACAAGCAAACAAAAACATAAAGTGGGGAAAGGACACCCTTTTCAAGAAATGGTGCTAGGATAATTGGCTAGCCACATGTAAGAGAATGAAACTGGATCCTCATCTCTCACCTTACACAAAAATCAAATCAACATGGATTATGGACTTAAATCTAAGAAACTATAAAAATTCTAGACGATAACATCAGAAAAACCCTTCTACACGTTGGCTTAGGCAAGGATTTCATGACCAAGATCCCAAAACATATGCAATAAAAGCAAAGATACATAGCTGGTAAAGAGCTTTTGCATGGCAAAAGGAACAGTCAGCAGAGTAAACAGACAACCCACAGAGTGGGAGAAAATCTTCACAATCTATACATCTGACAAAGAACTAATATATATCCAAAATATACAACAAACTCAAAAAAATTAGCAAAAAATAGAAAATAAAAAATCCCATCTAAAAGTGGGCTAAGGGCATAAATAGACAATTCTCAAAAGAAGATATACCAATGGGCAACAAACACATGAAAAAATGCTCAACATCACCAATGATCAGAGAAATGTAAATCAAAACCACAGTGTGATACCACCTCACTCCTGCAAGAATGGCCATAATCAAAAAACCAAAAACCATTAGATGTTGGTGTGGATGCAGTGATCAGAGGACACTTCTACACTGCTGGTAGGAATGTAAACTAGTAGAACCACTATGGAAAACAGTGTGGAGATTCCTTAAAGAACTAAAAGTAGAACTACCATTTGATTGGCAACAAAAGCCAAAATGGACAAATGGGATCTAATTAAACTAAAGAGCTTCTGCAAGGCAAAAGAAACTACCATCAGAGTGAACAGGCAACCTACAGAACAGGAGAAAATTTTTGCAATTTATCCATCTGACAAAGGGCTAATATCTCCAGAATGGGAGAAAATTTTTGCAATCTACCCATCTGACAAAGGGCTAACATCCAGAATCTACAAAGAACTTAAACAAATTTACAGAAAAAACCAACCCCATCAACAAGCGGGCAAAGGATATGAACAGACACTTCTCAGAAGAAGACATTTATGCAACCCACAGACACATGAAAAAATACTCATAACTGGTCATCAGAGAAATGCAAATCAAAACCACAAGGAGATACCATCTCATGCCAGTTAGAATGGCGATCATTAAAAAGTCAGGAAACAACAGGTGCTGGAGAAGATGTGGAGAAATAGTAATGCTTTTACACTGTTGGTGGGAGTGTAAATTAGTTCAACCATTGTGGAAGACAGTGTGGCGATTCCTCAAGGATCTAGAACTAGAAATACCATTTCACCCAGCCATCCCATTACTGGGTATATACCCAAAGGATTATAAATCATGCTACTATAAAGACATATGCACATGTATGTTTATTGCGGCACTATTCACAATAGCAAAGACTTGGAACCAACCCAAATGTCCATCAATGATAGACTGGATTAAGAAAATGTGGCACATATACATCATGGAATACTATGCAGCCATAAAAAAGGATGAGTTCATGTCCTTTGCAGGGACATGGATGAAGCTGGAAGCCATCATTCTCAGCAAACCACCACAAGGACAGAAAACCAAACACCATATGTTCTCACTGATAGGTGGGAATTGAACAACGAGAACACACAGACCCAGGGCGGGGAACATCACACACTGGGGCCTGTGGGGGGGTAGGGGGCTGGGGGAGGGATAGCATTAGGAGAAATACTTAATGTAAATGACAAGTTGATGCAGCAAACCAACATGGCACATGTATACCTATGTAACAAACCTGCACATTGTGCACATGTACCCTAGAACTTAAAGTATAATTTAAAAAAAAAAAAAAAAAAGAACTACCATTTGATCCAGCAAACCCACTACTGGGTATCTACCCAGAGGAAAAGAAGTCATTATATGAAAAAGACACTTGGACACGCATGTTTATGGCAGCACAATTCACAACTGCAAAATCATGGAACGAACCCAAGTGCCCATCAATCAACAAGTGGATAAAGAAACTGTGGCATATATATACAAAGGAATACTACTCAGCCAAAAGAAGGTATGAATTAACGGCATTCATAGCGACCTGGATGAGGTTAGAGACTATTATTCTAAGTGAAGTAACTCAGGAATGGAAAACCAAACATTGTATATTCTCACTGATATGTGGGGTCTAAGCTATGAGGACACAAAGGCATAAGAATGATACAACAGACTTTAATGACTTGGGAGTAAGGGTGGAGGGGGAGGGTTAAGACTACAAATAGGGTGCAGTGTATACTGCTCAGGTGATGGGTGCACCAAAATCTCACAAATCACCACTAAAGAACTTACTCACGTAACCAAACACCACCTGTACCCCCAATAACCTATGGAAAAACAAACAAAACAAAATACATAAAAAAACAAATTTGTACAATAAAATTTGCATAATAAAGTTTGATAACTATTCTAGTAAGGTATATGTGGACCTTTCTTAGAGTATGTAACTCAAATTATGAAAATAATGATTTATAGCTAACATCTATTAGTCCTTTCCACTTATCAGACTATGTTCTATGAGCTTTTACATGTATTACCTAATTTAAGCCTCATGATAATCCTAAGAAGTAGGTAGCATCTTGAATTACTCTCCCAAGTTTACAGATGTAGAAAGTGAGGCACATAGGTTAAAAAGCCCTATTTAGTGGAAAACCTAATATTTCATTCCAAATTGTCAAGCCCAAATCTGCAGCTCTTAACTTTTGTACAACACTGCTTCTTTCATCTCGATTATTTCCCTAGATTCTACTCAACCATCAATCATTTATTCCCTTAACAGATGTTCTACCTGAGGGCAAACAAGCAGATCTAATGAAGTTGGCTACAGAAAAAATAAAACAGTATAAAATAAACATGCAGAGAAATAATATTTGTGAGTTACCATAAAAAGAAATTTTATACATATAGTGCTATTTTCATATTCACATGTATGTGAAAAAAGACATATCACGACCTGGGTAACAGCTTCTGAAATATGATGATGCATAGACTAAGATTAGATTCACTTTAACACAGCTCATATAATATGTACAATGTTTTGGAAAAAAGAATTCTCAGATTCCACGCCTTGGAACATATTTTGAAATTTATAAACAGAGGAGTAAATTACCAAATGATTGATAACTGGAATCTATTTGGCATATATTTGTATTTGCAAAAGCAATTCTATTATTTTAGCATCTTAATATACAGTTATCAATGAACTTTTAAAATATGAATAACTAAGAACCCAGGGTGATTTATAGAAATAATATATAAAGCATTTACAGTTGTATAAAGGATCTCTGATCCAGTCCATTTTATAAGCACTACTGTTAATCATCTTTATAAGTACAACTACAAATGTGCTTTTCTGGCTAAAAAATTCCCCTCCCTCCAACATAGCTTTCCATTACTTCCCTTCATATAACTAATGCAGTGGACACTCATTATTTCACAAACAACTTCTATTCTTTTTTTTTTTTAATGGCATCAACTTTGTTCCTGCAATCCAACTTCTCTCTTGACACTGATAACTCAAATTGTCTTCTCCTTACTAAGTATTCCCTGACTTGACAAAAAGATACATTTCCCCTTTGGAGTGCTTTGTCCTTTTTTTGGATGTATATCTTATAAGTGGAAGGGCTAAAACATAAAATTAGGTCTGTGACTTCATTAAGGAAAGACATCACTTACTAAGTATGAGGGACTTTGCCCAGCAATGAGAATAGAGTAGTCTTTCCTTATCTTCAGTTTTGCTTTCCAAGGTCAACTGTGATCTGAAATATTAAATAAAGACTTCCAGACATAAATAATACTTAGGTTTTAAATTATGTGCCAGTCTGAGGAGTATGATGAAATTTTACACCTTCCCACTCCATCCCACTGGGACATGAATCATCCCTTTGTCCAGTGAATTCACATTGTATAGGCTACCCACTTGTTATTCACTTACCAGCCATCTGGGTTATCAGATCAGCTATTGTGGTATCGCAGTACTTGGGTTCAGTAGTATCTGTGGTTTCAGCCATTCACTGGCAGTTTTGGAATTTATCCCCTGTGGATAAAAGGGGACTACAGTACAGGCTTAATGTGATAGATGGGGCTCTTCATTTCAGGGTGCTTTCAATCTAATACAGAGTTCTAATCCTGTTTAATAGTGCTATTTTATGTTTAAAAGAATGGTTGTTTAGAAAAGGCTGCTAATCTTTTAGTTATTGAAAGCTGTAGGAACACTGTTCAAATAAAGGCCCTAACAAAAACGTGGTCATCAGAAAGAGGCATTATATTAATCTCATTGGCAAATTATCTAAGATATGATTATTTTAACCTGAATATCTCCTGACACATTATAATACTGTATTATCTTCTTTTTAATATCTTTGGATCCATTTTTTAAATTACTCATTTTTCTAAATACCCAGACTGGTCTGAACTCTTATGTTTTAATACTTATGTATAATAGACTATTAAGAGTTCTTCACATGTTTAATAATTTAAAAGCTTAATATTCTACTAAAATTAGTTTTACAATATAAAATATTGATGATAGGGACTTTTGAGCTCCGTACTTGCTGCTAAATGCAAGTTTAGTGGAAGAAAAACATGCAACCATATAATCTACAGTCCAGCATGTCATGTGAAAACTATGTAACTAGAAATACTTATTTTATATTTAAAAATATAAAATATTCACACTTTGGCATACTTCTAAAACAGGATCTGGCAAATCCAAGCAAATCTGGCAATCTCTCAGACTCAGTAAATTACTGCTCTAGATTGAAATCTTTTTATATTCTTTCCTTATCATGTTGTGTTAAATACTGAAATGCTTAAAATATATAAATATTTAATTTCCCTAAAGGGGAGTTATTTATCTTGTAAATTCATGTCCAGAAAATGGTTGGTGGATGCCTCTAAATGTGGCTCAATTCTTGTGAAATACAGGAAGAAAGTTTTATACTGATAACAGGATTTTCAGCTACAGCACATATTGAGATAATATTTAACTAATACATAACTGTCTCCAAATATTTCCAAAACATTTGTGGAAGCATGGAGATTGAATACCTTATGAGGTTTTCTCTCATTTTTCTCTTTCTAGTCCTATTATTCACAATTGTTGGAAGGCAAAGAAGGATGTAAGAAGATATGCCGAAAGGGACTTAACAGTTTGTTAAGCTCGCCATTTTTTTTTTTGAAGTTTTTAGATGTCTCTAAACTAAGATGAGCAAAATTGCTTGAGCCTTTGAAGAACTATTTTTTAAATCAACATAAGTACCCTGCAATGATACTGAGCACTTTTATGAATAAATCATCTAAACTTGGGTGCATGTTTTAAAAATTCACTTGGAAATCTTTAGTCAAACTGTTCAATCAATTGAGCACCAAAACCTCCAGCTTTTGAAACTTTATAGGGTGACTATAGCTAATAAGAATGCAATGTATATTTCAAGATAGGCAGAAGAGAGGATTTTGAATATTATCACCACACAGAAATGATAAATGTTTAAACTGTTAGATATAGTAACTGCCTGATTTGACCATTATACAATGTATACCTACATTGAAACATCACTTTGTATAAAATAAATGTACAGGGTTTTTTGACCTTTAAAATTACATTATTTTAAGTTCTAGGATACCTATACAGAACGTGCACATTTGTTACATAGGTATACATGTGCCACAGTGATTTACTGCACCTATTGACCCATCCTTTAAGTTCCCTAACCTCGCTGCCGCCGCCCAACAGGCCCTGGTGTGTGTTGTTCTCCTCCGTGTGTCCATGTGTTCTCATTGTTCAACACCCACTTAAGAGTGAGAACATGGGGTGTTTGGTTTTCTGTTCCCACGTTAAGTTTGCTGAGGATGATGACTTCCAGCTTCACCCATGTCCCTTCAAAGGACATGATCGCATTCTCTGTTTGTGACTGCATAGTGTTCCATGGTGCATATGTACCACATTTTCTTTATCCAATCTATCACTGACGGGCATTTGGGTTGGTTCCATGTCTTTGCTATTGTCAAGAGTGCTGCAATAAACAAACACGTGCATGTGTCTTTATAGTAGAATGATTTATATTCCTCTGGGTATATACCCAGTAATGGAATTGCTGTGTCAAATGGTATTTCTGGTTCTAGATCCTTGAGAAATCTACATACTGTCTTTCACAATGGTTGAACTAATTAACATTCCCACCAACAGTGTAAAACCATTCCTATTTCTCCACAGCCTCACCAGCATCTATTGTTTATTGACTTTTTAATAATCGCCATTCTGACTGGCGTGAGATGGTATCTCATTGTGGTTTTGATTTGCATTTCTCTAATGATCAGTGATGTTGTTTTTTTTTTTTTTCAAATGTTTGTTGGCTGCATGTATGTCTTCTTTTGAGAAGTGTCTGTTAATATCCTTTGCCCACTTTTTGATGGGGTTGTATGTTTCTGGTAAATCTGTTTAAATTCCTTATGAATTCTGGATATTAGACCTTTGTCAGATGTGTAGATTGCAAAATTTTCTCCCATTCTGTAGGTTGCCTGTTCACTCTGAGGATAGTTTCTTTTGCTGTGCAGAAGCTCTTTAGTTTAATTAGATCCCATTTGTCAATTTTGGGTTTTGTTGCAATTGCTTTTGGCATTTTTGTCAAGAAGTCTTTGCCCATGCCTGTGTCCTGAATGGTATTACCTAGGTTTTCTTCTAGGGTTTTTATAGTTTTGGGTTTTACATTTAAGTCTTTAACACATCTTGAGTTAATTTTTGAATAAGGTGTAAGGAAAGGGTCGAGTTTCAGTTTTCTGCATGTGGCTACCCAGTTCTCCTAGCACCATTTATTAAATAGGGAGTCCTTTCCCCATTGCTTGTTTTTTTCAGCTTTGTCAAAGATCAGATGGTTGCAGATGTGTGGTGTTATTTCTGAGGTCTCTGTTCTATCCCATTGGCCTATATGCCTGTTTTGGTACCACTACCATGCTGTTTTGATTATTGTAGCCTTGTAGTATAGTTTGAAGTCAGGTAGCATGATGTCTCTAGCTTTGTTCTTTTTGGTTAGGATTGTCTTGGCTATATGGGATCTTCCTTGATTCAATATGAAGTTTAAAGTAGTTATTTTCTAATTCTGTAAATAATGTCAATGGTAGTTTGATGGGAACAGCATTGAATCTATACATTACTTTGGGTAGTATGACCATTTTCACGATATTGTTTCTTCCTATCCATGAGCATGGAATGTTTTTCCATTTCTTTGTGTCCTCTCTTATTTCCTTGAACAGTGGTTTGTAGTTCTCCCTGAAGAGGTCCTTCACATCCCTTGTTAGCTGTATTCCTAGGTATTTTATTCTTTGTAGCGATTATGAATGGGAGTTTATTCATGATTTGGCTCTTTGCTTGTATATTGATGGTGTATAAAAATGCTTGTGATTTTTGCACATTGATTTGTATCCTGAGACTCTGCTGAAGTTGCTTAATAATTTAAAGAGTTTTTAGGCTGAGACAATGGGATTTTCTAAACACAAAATCATATTGTCTGCAAACAGAGACAATTTGACTTCCTCTCTTCCTATGTGAATACACTTTATTTTTCTCTTGCCTGATTGCCCTGGCCAGAACTTACAATACTATCTTGAATAGAAGTGGTGAGATAGGGCATCCTTGTCTTGTACCAGTTTTTAAAAAGAATGCTTCTAGCTTTTGCCCATTCAGTATGCTATTGGCTGTGGGTCTGTCATAAATAGCTCTTATTATTTTGAGATATGTTCCATCAATACATAGTTTATTTAGAGTTTTTAATATGAAGGGATTTTGACTTTTATCAGAGGCCTTTTCTGCATCTATTCAGATAATTATGTGCGTTTTGTCTTTGGTTCTGTTTATGTGATGGGTTACATTCATTGATTTGGGTATGTTGAACCAGCCTTGCATCCCAGGGATGAAGCCAACTTAATAATGGTGGATAACATTTTTGATGTGCTGCTGGATTTGGTTTGCCAGTATTTTATCGATGATTTTTGCATCAATGTTCAACAGGGATATTGGCCTGAAGTTTTCTTTTTTTGTTGTGTCTCTTCCCGGTTTTGGTATCAGGATGATGCTGGCTTCACTGAATGAGTTAGGGAGGAGTCCCTCCTTTTCAACTGTTTGGAATAATTTCAGAAGGAATGGTACCATCTCCTCTTTGTACTTCTGGTAGAATTCCACTGTGAATTCATCTGGTCCTGGGCTTTTTTTGGTTAGTATGCTATTAATTGCTGCCTCAATTTCAGAACTTGTTATTGGTCAATTCAGGGATTCAACTTCTTCCTGGTTTAGTCTTGGGAGGGTGTACATGTCCAGGAATTTATCCATTTCTTCTAGATTTTCTAGTTTATTTGCCTAGAGGTGTTTATAGTATTCTCTAATGGTAGTTTGTATCTCTGTTGGATCAGTGGTGATATCCCCTTTATCATTTTTTATTGTGTCTATTTGATTCTTCTCTCTTTTCTTCTTTACTAGTCTGGCTAGCAGTCTATCTACTGTGTTAATCTTTTCAAATGACCAGCTCCTGGATTAACTGATTTTTTTGGAGGGGTTTTTGTGTCTCTATCTCCTTCAATTCTGCTCTGATCTTAGTTATTTCTTGTCTTCTACTAGCTTTCGGATTAGTTTGCTCTTGCGTCTCTAGCTCTTTTAAATTGTGACGATAGGGTGTCGATCTGAGATTTTTCTAGCTTTCTGATGTGGGCATTTAGTGCCGTAAGTTTCTCTCTCTCACACTTCTTTAGCTGTGTACCAGAGCTTCTGGTACGTTGTGTCTTTGTTCTCAATGGATTCAAAGAACATCTTGAATTCTGCCTTAATTTCATTATTTACCCAGGAGTCATTCTGGAGCAGGTTGTTCAACCTCCATGCAATTGTGTGGTTTTGAGTGAGTTTCTTAATCCTGAGTTCTAACTTGATTACCTTGTGGTGTGAGAGACTGTTATGATTTCAGTTCTTTTGCATTTGCTGAGGAGCGTTTTACTTCCAATTATGTGGCTGATTTTAGAATAAGTGCTATGCGGCACCGAGATGAACGTATATTCTGTTGATTTAGGGTGGAGAATTCTGTAGATGTCTATTAGGTCCATTTGATCCAGATATGAGTTCAAGTCCTGAACATCCTTGTTAATTTTCTCTCTTGTTGATCTAATATTGACAGTGGGGTGTTAAAGTCTCCCACTATTATTGTGTGCGAGTCTAAGTTTTTTTCAGGTCTCTAGCAACTTGTTTAATAAATCTGAGTGCACCTGTATTGGGTGCATATATATTTAGAATAGTCAGCTCTTCTTGTTGAATTGGTCCCTTTACCATTATGTAATGCCCTTCTTTGTCTTTTTTTGATCTTTGTTGGTTTAAACTCTGTTTTGTCAGAGTCTAGGATTGCAACTCCTGCCCTTTTTTTTTTCTTTTTTTCTTTCTTTCTTTTTTTTTTTGGCTTTCCATTTGCTTGGTGTATTTTCCTCCATCCTTTTATTTTGAACCTATGTGGGTCTTTGCACTTGAGATAGGCCTCCTGAATACAGCACACCAATAGGTCTTGAAAATTTATTAATTTGCCAATCTGTGTTTTTAATTGGGGCATTTAGCCCATTTACATTTAAGGTCAGTATTATTATGTGTGAATTTGATCCTGTCATCATGATGCTACCTGGTTATTTTGCACACTAGTTGATGCAGTTTCTTGATAGTGTCATTGGTCCTTACATTTTGGAGTGTTTGTGCAGTGGCTGATACCGGTTTTTCCTTTCCGTATTTAGTGCTTCTTTCAGGAGCTCTTGCAAGGCAGTCCTGGTGGTAACAAAATCCCTCAGCATTTGCTTCTCTGGAAAGGATCTCCTTTGCTTATGAAGTTTAGTTTGGCTAGATATGAAATTCTGCGTTTAAAATTATTTTCTTTAAGAATGTTGAATATTGGCCCCCAATCTCTTCTGGCTTGTAGGGTTTCTGCTGAGAGTTACGCTATTATTCCAACGGGCTTCCTTTGTAGGTGACCTGGCCTTTCTCTCTGGCTGTCCTTAATACTTTTTCCTTCATTTTGTCCTTGGAGAATCTGATGATTATGTGTCTTTGGGTTGATCTTGTGGAGTATCTTAGTGGTGTTCTCTGTATTTCCTGAATTTGCATGTTGGCCTGTCTTGTTAAGTTGGGGAGGTTCTCCTGGATATTATCCTGAAGTGTGTTTTCCAGCTTCTTTCTGTTCTCCCCATCTCCTTCAGGTATTCCAGTTAATCATAGATTTGGTCTTTTTAAACGCTGAAGTCCCATATTTCTTGGAGGTTTTGTTCATTCCTTTTCATTCTTTTATCTCTACTCTTGTCTGCATGCCTTATTTCAGCAACGTGGTCTTCAAACTGATATCCCTTCTTCCACTTGGTCGATTCGGCTATTGATTCTTGTGTATGCTTCATGAAGTTCTCATGCTGTGTTTTTTAGCTCCATAGGGTCATTTATGCTCCTTTCTAAATTGGTTATTCTAGTTGGCAGCTCCTCTAACCTTTTATCAACGTTCTTATCTTTGTTGCATTGGGTTAGAACATGCTCCTTTAGCTCCATGTAGTTTTTTATTACCCATCTTCTGAAGACTACTCCTGTTAGTTTGTCCATCTCATCCTCTATCAGGTTCCTTGCTGTTGTTATAATCATTTGGAGAAGATGCACTCTGGCCTTTTGGGTTTTCAGCATTTTTTCATTGATTCTTTCTCATCTTCATGAGTTTGTCTAATTTCAATCTTTGAGGATGCTGACCCTTGGATGGGGTTTTCATGACGGCTTTTTGTTGTTGTTGTCGATGCTGTTGTTGTTGTTTTCTCTTTAATTGTTTTTCAATGGTCAGGTCCCTCTTCTATATGGCTGCTGTGGTTTGCTGGGGGTTCACTTCAGGCCCTATTCATTTGGTTCGCTCTCACATCTGGAGATGTCTCAAGGAGGCTGGAGAACAGCAAAGATGGGTGCCTGCTCCTTCTTCTGGGATCTCTGATCTCAAGGGACACCAATCTGATGCCAGTAGGATCGCTCCTGTATAGGGTTTTTGACAATCCCTTTTGGAGGGTCTCACCCAGTTGGGTGGCACAGGGAACAGGACCTGTTTAATGAAGTACTTAGATTGTCCCTTGGGGGAAGGGCTGTGCTTCACTGGGGGAAAACCCACTCGTCTGGGCTGCCTGGATTCCCCAAAACTACCAGGAGGAAAGGCAAAGTCTGCTGGTCCACAGAGACTGTGGCGACTCCTTCCCCTAGGGGTTCAAGCCCAGGGAGATCTGGGTTCTGTCCCTGAGCCTCTGGCTGGAGTTTTTGGAGTTCCTGCAGGGAAGCCCCACCCAGTGAGGAAGGATGAGTCATGGTCACACCTGAAGAGGCACTGTGGCCGCAGTCTGCCACAGCTGGTGTGTTGGGCTGTGGAGGACATGTCTTGGGACCAAGCTGTCCAGCCTCCCTGGCTCCAGGAGGGGAGAAGTACAGCCTGGAGCTATAGAGATGGATGCCACCCTTCCCCCGCCCAGGGAGCTTAGCATGCTAGGCAGTCGTGAGTCTCAGTGCTGGCTGCTGCCCCTACCCCAAGGATCTCAAATGGCTTAGACAGTAGGCAGCCATAGCTGTGGTGTTGGTCGCCCCTCCCCCCAGGAGCTTGGTAGGCTTAAGTAGATTCTAGCTGAGAGGCTGTTGAGAATCTACATGGCTCTGGGGTTGAAATGTTAGGCCCTGGTAGCGTAGGTTCACGAGTGTGATCTTCTGATCCATGGGTGGCACAGTTCCGTGGAAAAAGCAGTTTCCCCAGCTGGTTAGCAGGCTCACTCACTGTCTTCCCTTGGCTGCGGGGTAGGGGCTACCCTGCCCTGTGTGGCTCCCAAGTGGGCTGCCACACCACATTGCTCTTCCTTTCTCTCCGTGGATCACACCAGCCACCTAGTCATTTCTGATTAGACAGCCTGAATACCTTGGTTGCAGGTGAAGGTTTCACACACTTATTATGGTTCTTTTTGATGGGAGCATCCAATTGCTACTGTTTCTAGTCAGCCATCATGGCCGCACCCAAATGTACAGTTATTATGTATTAGTTATAAATAAACAAGATGCTATGCAGCTATTAAAAAGTGATGTCTGTTTAGATATGAAACATATTTGAGATATTGTAAAAAAAAGAGAAATATGCACAACAGTATACATTTTTGTAAGATGTATTTTTATTCAAATGTGTAATATGTACATATTGCACTTACATGCATATGTAAATATGCATATATACATATGTATATATGTATCTGTACATTCACATTTGTGTGTGTGCACATGTGCGCATGCACAGATAACCTCTGTAACAGAGGTTGCTTTTAGGGAAGGAAAACTGGATGGCAGGGCAGGGCAAGCATAAGGTTTCCTTTCTGTGCATGTACTCTTTGGTAGCTTCATAAGCAAATTTCAAATAGTTGTGATATAACTGAAATAAAAATAATTGAGAAATAATATAGTTTTTTTTTTTAGATGGTGTCTTGCTCTGTTGCCAGGCTGGAGTGCAGTGGTGCAATCTTGGCTCACTGCAACCCCTGTCTCCGGATTCAAGCGATTCTCCTGCCTCAGCTTCCCAAGTAGCTGGGACTATAGGCGCACGCCACCACGCCCAGCTAATTTTTGTATTTTTAGTAGAGACGGGGTTTCACCATGTTGGCCAGGATGGTCTCGATCTCTTGACCTCATGATCCACCCGCCTCGGCCCCCAAGGTGCTGGGATTACAGGAGTGAGCCACTGCATCCGGTCATAATAAAGATTTTTAACTGGATATTTGTTCTATTCTAGGATGAATAATAAATGCAAAGACAATAGCAGAAGTGCTAATTTAGAAAAATTAAGTAAAATCCTTCATCCCCGAGTTGTCCCAGACCAATAATTTACTAAGTAAAAAAATACAAATTTAAATTAGATCATAAGGGAGAAATAAATTCAAAACAGCAACAGCCAACATGCGTACATGTATTACTGTTAGGTTTTCCCTCTAAATCTAAATCACAAATCTACTTCTTTCATATAATTTTAACTGTAAAATTATTTTACTTCTCTCACACAGTTTAGAAATTCCAGTATGTGTGTCAAAAATAAAATATTCGTTAAATTTCTAGTAGCTAAGTGCCTCTCTCTTTGAAAATGTATAGTCCCACCTCAATCTCTCACCTCCTCCCCTAAAAACAAATAGGGTTTTGTGCAGTTGTCCATTTTACTGATACCAATTTTTCTTTGAATATCCTCTACAGAAATAGAAAACATTTAACACTATAACCTCAGAAATTTTTCTGTAAGTAGATTTTCCACATTTATATCATGTTGAATAGCCCGTATAAGACACACAATTTTAATTGTTTCCAAAAGGAAAAGTTCCTATATGTAATCTCTCTCCTTTTATAGTCTCTAAAATTAAGATTAGTTTAAAAAAATAGTAGTTATCCAGTCATAAGAAAACATAAAGGTTCTTATAAAGTTGTTTTTTCAAATTTTAAACATCCTTCGGCATAGCTTCTTCATTATTTAATTTCATATTTAGTTTTTGTTGCTTTGTTTCTGTAAACAACCAGATTGTAAAAACAAATCATGGCAAACACAGCCATAGTTTACTTCTGTCTGGCATAGATGTTTCTTTCACTCCTATTATCTTAGCCTTTCTCTCTCTAATTCCATCATTTATACAAATAGTATAAAAACAGCAAATAGTGAGAGGTGAAGTTGAAGAGCCAGGAAGTAATCAGATCATTACTGGTCTTGCATGCGCTATTAAAAAGCTGGATTTTGTTCTAAAACAGAATACTTTAAAATACCAGACATCTTCCACATTGACCTGAAATTATTCAACAACAACTTCTTATAACAATTCTAATGAACTATATACTCACAAAGACATAATGAAAAGCTTATGAAATTATCAACATCGAGTCACTATCTTTTTAGCATTCCCTGATTAAATTATCCAGCAATTCTATCACCATATTTAATATAATATTATCATCACTTACCTTTTATTATTTTTAAATTATTTTCTTTTATTTATTTATTTTAATTATTATTATACTTTAAGTTTTAGGGTACATGTGCACAATGTGCAGGTTTGTTACATATGTATACATGTGCCATGTTGGTGTGCTGCACCCATTAACTCATCATTTAGCATTAGATATATCTCCTAATGCTATCCCTTTTAAGACTGTGAAGTGAGTAGAATAGTATCAGTATGTTCATTTAACAATTGAGAAAACTAAGATTCTGAAAGGTCAAGTAATTTAGTTATCATGCTACACTGCTGATAACTGGAATATGCTAGACTTCTCTGCAGTTAAGTTTAAATCATAGCTCAGTACTCTTTTCATTACCTTGAAGAGTTACATTGACTAATATTCTCACTCAGGTCACAATGATTTCTTATCTACACCACGGGTCAATAAACTTTTTCTGTAAAGACAGTCAAAATGCAGTTTACCCTTGAACAACACAAGTTTGAACTCCTTGGTTCCACTTATCTGCAGATTTTTTTCAACCAAACATAGATCAAATTAATGAAATGCAAAACCCGCATATATGGAGGGCCAATGTTTTGTATACATGCAGGTTCCCCAGAGCCGAATGGAGGGACTGAGTATATGCAGATTTTGGTATATGCAGAGGTCCTGGAACAATCCCCAACACATACCAAAGGATGGATGACTGTATTTCTGGCTTTGAGTGACATATGAAACTACTCAACTCTGCTGTTGTACAGTGAAACCACCCATAGGTAATACATAGGTGAATGAGTAAGACTGTGTTCTAACAAAACTTCAATTTTCATGTATCATTGTCTTTCCAAAGATAAAAATATTTCTTTTAAAATAGCAGTTTTATTGAGTAAACATAAGCACTGGATTTCCCTGATTCAGAATAAATCCTGAATAATTAGTCCCAGGTATCTGCTACTTTTAAAAGAGTATGACAACATCAGTAAGAAGAGTTTACATTCACTGAACATATAGTTCAATTTTCTCCAAAAAATATTACATCCCCTTTTTACCTATGAATTCTGTAATTTCACACAGATTTCAAGTTATCTACAAAATAGTGACAGACCAGAAGCAAATCAGAGGACAAATCTTATTCAGCAAGTATTTAACCTTTTTCTCCATTTTGAAATGCTCAAGCAGAATGACTCAGTTTAAAGACTAACATTAACAAAATTCATCATATCCCTTTTCAAAATGTATTTTTTAACTTGTGATGAAATTTCAGGCAAAATCCATATATTTTCTGTATAATGTATTATTATTTAAATAACTATTTGTGATACTTGAAATTAGTCATTTAATAAATATTTATTTCACAATTTCCAAAGTGCTTTCGAATGGGTCATATTTTTCAATTTCATAAGATGAAAATATTATTTATAAAACCAGGCAGCAGGCTGGGCACAGTGGCTCATTCCCAGCACTTTGGGAGGCTGAGGCAGGAGGATCTCTTATGCCCAGGAGTTTGAGACCAGCCTGGGCAACATGGAGAGATCCTCTCTCTACAATAAATAATAATTGTAAAAAGTAGCCAGCTGTGGTGGCACATGCCTGTAGTCCCAGCTACTTGGGAAGCTGAAGTGAGATGATCACTGGAACCTGGGAGGCAGAAGCAGCAGTAAGCCATGATTGCACCACTGCACTCCAGCCTGAGTGAAAGAGGTAGACCTCATCTCAAAAAAAAAAGAAAAGAAAAAAGAAAAAAGAAAAAAAAAAAAGGCAAGTAGCAGGCCAGATTTGACCTGTGGATCATAGTTTGCCAACCCCTAGATTAGACCATACTTTTAAATATCCACCATCTATCCAATATAAGAATGAAAGTTCACATGACAGAAGCCAGAGAAAAACACTACACCAGTATCTCCAATCTAATTTGTTCTTAACATCATTCAATACTGTTGAGTCTACATTTCATCTTGTGCCTTTAATAGTAAACATTCTTATATACAACAATTATCCAAAATTACAAGTAGTAAAAAATTATACTTTTCCCATTGGCTTTCTCAGAAAGGATGCTTACAGAAGTTCACAAAACCTGATACTGTGAAGTCACACAACGTACTACATAACTAAGGCAAATTATAAATGCTGAATTACAGAGTAGTCAAACACATTTGTTTAATACAATTCATCATTGACAATATTATTTTAGATAACTTTTTGGTATAAATCCAACTAATATTTAAGTAGATTAACTATAAAATGCCTCAGTAGTCAACAAAACATACTAATACTTATTAAAAGATGAGGTGAAGATGTGGATTCCTGTGAGGGACAAATATAGGAGTAAAGAAATTTACACATGTATTCAAATGTAAAATATTAGTGTGTAGAAATTTTGTTTATAAACAGATAATAAGTCATTACTTTCCCACAAAATTGACAAAAATAAATTATCACTTGGTGAAAAATAAACTTCAACTATTCAGACTTTTTTAAAAAGTGACTTAAATATTTTTCTAATGAGGACTACTCTTTTATGGTTAATTTTACGTGATAAACCACAAATCTACATACATTTCTTAAAAGGAAAAACAAAATAAATTCATAGCATCTTTAGGAAGTGAGAAATTTAACTCATTTAGTAGTAAAGCTTAAAGTCTCAAAGCTGTGATCTTGAATACCAGAGGTTCTGAGACCCTTTCAGGGGACCACAAATTGGGGTACTTCATCACAGTCTAGTGAGGGTGAGAATCCAGGCTCCCCACTCAACTTTTGCTGGCATGGGTTGGTGTAGGACCACAGTTTTTCTGTAGTGTTTGGCAGGAGTAGGGTGGTTATAGTATAAGCTTTCTGACTTGGTATGGTTTCTACGCCCTTTGGCTAAACAGAGAAAGCTTTTGTTGAAGCTATTTGTCAGTGTCTTTCGATATTTCTAGGTTGTCAGCTGCTTCAGCTCCAAGTATAAAATATATGAGGCACACACACAAAAACAAGAACACACCACCACATTATTTCTTAGGACTTTCAGTTGTACTTAGCATGAGGAATAGACCAAAGTACATTTACTCCATCTTTCCAGAATTGGAAGACTCAAGGCTAATGGATAGTAAAACAAAACTTTACATTTTTAGATTAGTTTCAGGTTTACAGCAAAATTGAGCAGACTTTAAAAACGTGACTTAAATATTTTTCTAATGAGGATTACTCTTTTATGGTTAATTTTGTTTATGAGATAACCACAAATCTGCATAAACTTCTTTAAAGGAAAAAGAAATTCATAGCATCTTTAGGAAGTGAGAAATTTTTCCATATAATTTCCCATATATCCCTTGTACTGCAATATGCATAGCTTCTCCCATTATCAACATACCCCAACGAAGTGGCACATTTATTACCACTGATAAACCTCCACTGACACATCATTATCACCCAAAGTCCACAGTTTACATTAGGGTTCATTTTCAGTGTTGTATATTCTATGGTTTAGACAATGCATCATAACATGTTTCCTTCATTGTAGTATCATTCAGAGTAGTTTTACTGCCCTAAAAATCCTCTGTACTCTGCCTGCTCATCCCTTCCTCCTCTCTAACCTCTGGCAAGCACTGATTCTTTTACTATCTTCATAGTTTTGCCTTTTCCAGAAAGTCATATAGCTGGATACTTACAATGTGTAGCTTTTGCAGATTGGCTGCTTTGATGTAGTAATATGCATTTAAGTTTCCTTCTTATCTTCTCATAGTTTGATAGCTCATTTCTTTTTGGCACTGAATAATATTCCATTATCTGGATGTACCACAGTTTACTTATCCATTCACCCACTGAAGGTTATCTTGGTTGCTTCCAAGTTTTGTCATTTATAAAGTTTCTATAAAAATCTATGTGCAGATTTTTGTGTGGATGTACATTTTCAACACATTTGGATAAATACCAAGGGGCAAAACTGCTGGAATGCATGTTAAAAAACCACTGAACTGTCCTCCAAAGTGGCTATGCCATCTTGCATTCCCACCAGCAATTAATGAGAGTTTCTTGCCCCACATCCTCATCAGCACTTGGTATTGTCAGTATTCCAGATTATGACCATTCTAATAGATATGTAGTAATATTTCACTGTTGTTTTAATTTGCATTTCCATGATGACATAAAATGTAGAACATCTTTTTATATACTTATTTGACATCTGTATATCTTCTTTGGTGAGGTGTTTGTTAAGGTCTTTGGCCCACTTTTCAATAGAGTTTATTTTTATTTTTATTTTTATTTATTTATTTTTTTAAGACAGAGTCTTGCTCTGTTGCCCAGGCTGCAGTGCAGTGTGGCATGTTCTCGGCTCACTGAAACCTCCGCCTCCTGGGTTCAAGCCATTCTCCTGCCTCAGCCTCCTGAGTAGTTGGGATTACAGTCGTGCACCACCGCGCATGGCTAATTTTTGTATTTTTGGTAGAGATGGGGTTTCACCAAGTTGGCCAGGCTTGGTCATGAACTCCTGACCTTAAGTGATCCACCTGCCTTGGCCTCCCAAAGTGTTGGGATTACAGGCGTGAGCCACTGCGCTCGGCCTAGGGTTGTTCATTTTCTTATTGCTGAGTTTTAGGAGTTCTTGTATATTTTTAAGTAATAGTACATTATCAGATGCGTCTTTTGAAAATATTTCTCCCAGTCTGTGGCTTCTCTTTTCATTTCATGGCATTGTGTTTGTAGAGCAGAGTTTTTAATGAAGCCCAGCTTACCAATATTTTCTTTTGTGGATGGTACCTTTAGAGCTGAAAATCACTGCCATACCCAAGGTTACCTAGGCTTTCTCCTATATTATTGTCTGGCAGTTTTATAGTTTTGTGTTTTATATGTAGTCCTATGATCCACTTTGAATTAACTTTTTTAAGGGTGTAAGGTCTACGTCCAGATTCAATTTTTTAAAGCATGCAGATGTCCAGGTGTTCCAGCACCATTTGTTAAAAAAACTATCTTTGCTCCATTGTATTTTGTTTATTCCTTTTTCAAAGACCAGTTGAACATTGTCTTAAGTCTATTTGAGCTGCTATTTAAAAAATACCATGGACTGGGTGGCTGATAAACAAAAGAAGTTTATTTCTCACTGTTCTGCAGGTCTGGAAGTCCAAGATCAAGGTGCCAAGAAATTCAGGTGAAGGCCTACTTCCTGATTGATAGATGTCTGTCTTCTGGCTATAATCGCATATGGTGGTAGGGGAAAGGGGCCTGTCTCAGGCCTCTTTTATTAGGGACACTAATCCAATTCATGAGGTCTCTGCCCTCATGACTAAATCACCTCCCAAAGGCCTCATCCTTCAAACGCCCTCACATCGGGGGTTAAGCTTCAACATATGAATTCTGGGCAGATATATACATTCAGACCACAGCAACTATATTTATATGGGTCTATTTCTGGGCTCTCTATTCTTTTTCCTTGATCTATTTGTCTATTTTGCCAATACTACACTGCCCCTATCACCACAGCTTTATAATAAATCTTGAAGCTGTATAGTGTCAAGTCCTCCAACTTTTTTCTTATTCTTCAATATTGTATTGGCTACTCTGGTGGACCAATAGATTTTAACTTAACAGAGTATTATGAAAATGTCCTTAATATGGCTTTGAATTCCACAATGTTACTTATTATGATGATTAATTTTTGGTGCCACCTTGACTGGTTGAAGGATTATACAGAGTACTGATAAAGCATTATTTCTGTGTATGCTTGTGAGAATGTTTCCAGAGGAGATTCACAAGTGAGTCCATAGGCTGAGTAAGTAAGATCTGCCCTCAATGTGGGCAGACCTACCCAATTAGAGGGGACCGAAATAGAGCAAATAGGCTATTTCCTCTCTCTTCTGGAGCTGGGATATAAATTTCTCTTGTCCTAAGACATCAGAATTCCAGCTTACAGATGGCCAGTCAGGAAAGTCCTCAGCCTCCATAACTGCATGAGTCAATTCTCCTAATAAATCCCGTATGTATATATGTATGTATGTATCTACCTATCTATCTATCAATCAATCAATCATTGGTTCTGTTTCTTGGAGAACTCTGACTACTACACTTACCTTTAAGAAACTGTCTATCATTATTGTCCAGTTTGAGTAAAATAGCAAAACAAATAATATCCATATTCATTAGAAAAAGTTATTAAAATATTCCTTCCAAGTTACATAATTGTTCCAAGCATAATTTTCCTCACAAATTTCAACAAAAACATATTACAACAGATTAAACGTAGAAACAGTTATTTGAAAATTTAGCTATCTTTTATTAAGCCAGAGATTATAGAGATTTATAAAATGTAAAAAAACTGTTAATATTTTGACTATTTTGGGAGTTTTGAAATATACAGCTATTTTTCATTATATTATTTATTTTAATATGTAGTGGGCTTATTTATATTTTATGTGAATTAAATAATTTTATTCTTTAACATAGTAAATATCAATAGATGTTACCCACATAAACAATAGTTCAATGCCATGCTTATAATTTTTTAAAGTGCAATGAAGCTATGAAATCATAAGGTTAGAGAATTACTACCTAGTATGAATAAACATAAAAAATATAACACTATAATTCAAACAAGTGCTCTATATAAGCTTCAGTTCAGGGTTACTTCCTTGGTAATATTTTAATTCCAAATATTATAAAGATTTCTTTGGTATTTCATAACAACAATACAAGCCATTCAATTCAAGCAATCTAATACAATGTCTTTATCCTTTTAATGCTCATAGAGACCAAAATGTCATATAGTTTATATGCACCAATGGTCATATAAAAATGGTAATTAGAAATAGCAAATATTATAGAAAACTGTTCGATAAGAAAAAAAGGTAGACATCTGTGTTCCCCACTTGCTTTCTGTGTTCTCTCTCCTGGTTGTATAGAGGAGCCAGGATAATTTAGGACTTATTAGAGAGACGTAGGTTGGAGTCCCAGGCCTACTACTAGAGAATCTACAGATAGTGTATCTGCAGATATTTAACTTCTCTGAATTTCAAATTACTCAGCATGTCTAACAGAATTATGAAACATCATATTAAAAACTAGGCATAAAGCACCTGTTTAGTTCCTAGCAGGTAGTTGATAAATGTTAGTACCTCATCATACTCCTCACTCCTTCCATGTAAACTTATACCTAATGACCAGAGCATATGACAATGAAGTGTGTCAGAAAATAGTAATAAAAATTGCATGTTTTACAGTCAGGAGGTAAATAACAGAAAGCACCCAGGACTATAAGAAGGTTAGCAGGTAAAGTAAAGATATATTCAAACCTCTTTATTTGGGAGTTAACTATATATATTAGTAATCCTTAACCTATTTGCATCTGCAAAACCCACAGAAAATCAAAGGAAAACTAAGGACTTTCGCCCCAGAAAAACAAACATTTGCTCACAAATATATTTTGCATAGAATTTCAGGAGTTTTATGGACAAATCCGAATTTGATTTTATTGTCAAACATAGAAAAAGAAAAATGCTATCTAGCTTTTATTATCTTTTTTGGATTAGAGGTTGCTAACCAAAGTACTGGATAGTTTTTGCTATTGTTTGTTTAGTTTTGTTTTCTGCAGACCCTATATCTTAATTTTGGCTTCCATTCTATGTCAATCAGAGAAAGTTCTGAAAATCTCCCAGTGTACACTATCTTGAACAGAATACTGATAAATTATTTAGCTCACTTTGTAGTCTATCCTCTATATCTGATTGTCAGCAACGTTTTCTGTAAACGACTGGATAATAAACATTTTCAGCTTAGTGGGCCAAATGATCCTTGTTACAACTTATCATCTCTGCTATTATAATTCAAAAGCAGCCATGAATAGTAGGTAAACACTATGCATGGCTGTGTTCCCTAACAAAACTATTTATAGACACTGAAATATAATTTTCATGTACTATAAAATATTCATTAAAAATTTTTTTTAATCACTTAAAAATGTTCATGGGTCAGGTGCAGTGGCTCACACCTGTAATCCCAGCACTTTGGGAGGCCAAGGCAGGTGAATCACAGGGTCAGGAGATCGAGACCATCCTGGCCATCACGGTGAAACCTTGTCTCTACCGAAAATACAAAAATTAGCTGGGTGTGGTGGGGAGTGCCTGTAATCCCAGCTACTCGGGAGGCTGAGGCAGGAGAATCGCTTGAACCCAGGAGGCGGTCGTTGCAGTGAGCCGAGATTGCGCCACTGCACTTCAGCCTGGTGACAGAGTGAGA
Source organism: Homo sapiens (assembly GCF_000001405.40). Classification (NCBI taxonomy): domain Eukaryota; kingdom Metazoa; phylum Chordata; class Mammalia; order Primates; family Hominidae; genus Homo; species Homo sapiens. The sequence continues at coordinate 66,691,212 of NC_000014.9, read as the reverse complement.
CTCCATCTAAAAATAAAAAAAAAAAATAAAAATTGTAGAGACAGTGTCTCACTATGTTGCCTAGCCTGGTCTCAAATTACTGGGCTCAACTGATCCTCCCACCTCAGTCTCCCAAAGTGCCAGGATTATAGGTGTGAGCCACTGTACCCAGCCTATACTTAATTTTAAATGAGGTTTAGGCCTTCAACACTAAATAAAAATCTTTGGGTTTTCACTGAAATACGTAAGTGAGTCAGCATATAGGAGTTCGAATAATACAGACCAAGGTTTACTGCTTTGCCACTCATTACAGTCAAATGTCACTGAACCACAGGGATACATTCTGAGAAATGCATCCTCAGGTTATTTCAACCTTATGTGACCTTCATAGAGTGTACTTACACAAACCGAGGGAGTGAGGCTGTGTCTCAAACAAACATAAAAACAAAAAACAACTAAAAAGAAACAAAGAAGGTCATTACATAATGATAAAGATATTAATTCAGTAAAGGAGATAACAAATGTAAATATAATATGCACCCAACATTGGAGCACCCAGATATATGAAGCAAATATTGTTAGATTTAAAGGAAGGAATAAATTCTGATACAATAATAGATGGGGACTTCAACACTCCACTCTCAACATGTGACAGAGGTCATTTAATTTAAACTGTTCTTCAGACCAAATGAACCTAACAAACCTTTAGAGAAAATATCACCCAAATGCAGCAGAATACACATACTTTTCATCAGCACATGGAATATTCTCCAGAACAGACCACATATTAGGTCACAAAACAAGGCTCAACAAATCTAAAAGAATTGAAGTCATATTAAGTATCTTTTCTGGCCAAAATTAAATAAAACTAGAAATCAACAAAAGGAACTACTGAAACTGTGAGAATATAGGGAAATTGAAGAACATGTTCTACAATGAACGTGGGTCAATAAAAAAATTAAGAAAAAAATTTCAAATTTCTTGAAACAAATGAAAAGAGAAACACAACATACCAAAAAATATGAGATACATCACAAACTATAGTAAGAGAGAAGTTTATAGCAATAAACCTCAACATTAAGTAGAAAATTTTCAAATAGCCTAACAAGCTAACTTAAGGAACAAGAAAATCAAGAACAAACTGTAAGAATTAGTAGAAAAAATAAAAAATATCCAAGCTGAAATAAGTAAAATTGAGAAAAAAATACAACATATAAAAAAAGTCAAAAAGTTGGTTTTATGAAAAGATCAATAAAATTGCCAAACTACTAGCTAGACCAACGAAGACAAAAAGAGAAAAGACCCAAATAAACCAAGATAAAAAAAGACTCAAATAAATAAAATCAGAATGGAAAAATGACACAAAAAATTGATACCACATAAATAAAAATCATTAAAGACTATTATGAACAACTATACGCCAACAAATTAGAAAACCTAGCAGAAATGGTCCTGGACACAAACAACCTACCACAACTGAGCCAAGAAGAAATGAAAAACCCCAACAAACCAATTGAAAATTAACGTGACTAAATTTGTAATTTTAAAAAAGCCTGGGACCCTATGGCTTCACTGTTGAATTCTATCAAACATTTAAAGCAGAATTAAAATCAATATGTCTAAAACTTCCAGAAAATTGAGAAGGAGGCAATTCTTCAAAACTCATTCTAAGAGGCCAGCATTACCCTGATACTAAAACTAGACCAAGGACTCAAATGCAAAAACTACAGACCAACATCCCTGATGAACATAGAAGCAAAAATTACCAACCACATACTAGCAAACAGAATCCAGCAGCATATTAAAAAGATAATTCACCATCATCAAGTAGGATTTATCCCAGGCATAAATGGGTGAGATAAATGGGATGGTTTAGCATATGCAAATCAATAAATATGACACATCACATCAATGGAATGAAGGACAAAAACAATATAATCATTTCAATAAACATAGAAAAAGCATGTAATAAAATTCAACATCCCTTCCTGATAAAAACTCTCACCAAGTTAGATACAGAAGGAATGTACTTCAACACAACAAAAGCCATATACAGTAAACCCACAGCCAACATCACACTGACTTGGGAAAAGTTAAAAGCTTTTCCTCTAAGTTCTGGAACAAAAAAAAGATGCTCACTTTTACCACTTTCTTTTTCTTTTTTTAAAAAATTATACTTTAAGTTCTAGGGTACATGTGCACAATATGCAGGTGTGTTACACAGGTATACATGTGCCATGTTGGTTTGCTGCACCCATCAACTGGTCATTTACATTAAGTATTTTTACTAATGCTATCCCTCCCCCAGCCCCCCACCCCCCGACAGGCCCCGGTGTGTGATGTTCCACTCCCTGCGTCCATGTGTTCTCATTGTTAAACTCCCACTTATGAGTGAGAACATGCGGTGTTTGGTTTTCTGTCCTTGTGATATTTTGCTGATAATGATGGTTTCCAGCTTCATCCATGTCCCTGCAAAGGACTTTCACAACTTTCATTCAACACAGTACTGGAAGTCCCAGTCATAACAATTAGGCAAGAGAAAGAATTAAAGGGCATCCAAATTGGAAAGGACTATCCAAATTTGTTCCCGTTCATCTCCCATGTTGTAGACGACATATAGAAAACAGTAAAGACTCCCCTCAAAGACTCTTAGAACTGATGAACAAGTTGAGTACTTTTGCAGGACAGAAAATCAAGGTAAAAAATAAGTACCATTTCTAAACATCAGCAATAAACTAGTGGAAAAAGAAACTGAAAAAGCAATCCATTTTATGGCAGCTACATACAAAAATAAAATTCAGTTAGACCCTTGAACAATACAGACTTGAACTGCATGGGTCTACTTACATGCATGCAGACTTTTTTCCATAAATGTTACACTTGAGTGTGCCTGCCTCTTCTACCTCCCTGACAACTCTTCTCTGCCTCTGCCACTCCTGAGACAGCAAAACCAACTCCTTTTCCTCTTCCTCCGCCTCCTCATCAGCCTATTCAATGTGAAGATGAAAAGCATAAAGACTTATATCTTGATCTACTTTGACTTAGTGAATAGTAAATATTTTTCTTTTTCTTAATTTTGTTATTCTTAATAATACTTTCTTTTCTCTAGTTTACTTTATTTCAAGAATACAGTATGTAATACGTATGTAAAATATGTGTTAGTCAACTGTTTATGTCATTGTTAAGGATTCCAGTCAACAGTAGCTTATTAGTTAGTAATTAAGTTTTTGGCAAGTCAAAAGTTACACCTAAATGTTCAACAGCATGCAGGAGCAATACACCAAATACTCATACTGTTCAAGGATCAACTGTACCTAGAAATAAATTTAACCAAGTGGGTGAAAGATCTCTACACAAACAAGCTAAAAAACTGATGAAAGAAATTGAAGAGGACACAAACAAATGGAAACACATCCTATGTTTATGAATTGAAAGAAATAATATTGGCCAGGCACAGTGGCTCATGCCTGTAATCCCAGCACTTTGGGAGGCCGAGGTGGGCGGATCACCTGAGGTCAGGAGTTAGAGACCAGCCTGAACAACATGGAGAAACCCTGTCTCTACTAAAAACACAAAATTAGCCGGGCATGGTGGCACATGCCTGTAATCCCAGCTACTCAAGAGGCTGAGGCAGGAGAACCGCTTGAACCCAGGAGGCGAGAGGTTGCGGTGAGCCGAGATTGTGCCATTGCACTCCAGCCTGAGCAACAAGAGCGAAACTCCGTCTCAAAAAAAAAAAAAAAAAAACCAAATAAAATAAAGAAAAAGAAGTAATATTGTAAAAATGAACATGCTACCAACAGTGATCTATAGATTCAACGCAATCTCTATCAAAATACCAATGACATTCATCACAAAAATAGAAAAAATAATCCTAAAATTGGTATGAAACCATAAAAGACCCTGAATAGCCAAAGCAATCCTGAGCAAAAAGAACAAAGCTGGGGTGGAGAGTTCTGTAGATGTCTATTAGGTCTTCTTGGTGCAGAGCTGAGTTCAATTCCTGGATATCTTTGTTAACTTTCTGTCTCGTTGATCTGTCCAATGTTGACAGTGGGGTGTTAGAGTCTCCCATTATTATTGTGTGGGAGTCCAGCAGCACATCAAAAAGCTTATCCAACATGATCAAGTGGGCTTCATCCCTGGGATACAAGGCTGGTTCAACATACGCAAATCAATAAACGTAATCCAGCATATAAACAGAACCAAAGACAAAAACCACATGATCATCTCAATAGATGCAGAAAAGGCCTTTGGCAAAATTCAACTGCCCCTCATGCTAAAAACTCTCAACAAATTAGGTATTGATGGGACGTATCTCAAAACAATAATAGCTATTTATGACAAACCCACAGCCAATATCATACTGAATGGGCAAAAACTGGAAGCATTCTCTTTAAAAACTGGCACAAGACAGGGATGCCCTCTCTCACCACTCCTATTCAACATAATGTTGGAAGTTCTGGCCAGGGCAATCAGGCAGGAGAAAGAAATAAAGGGTATTCAATTAGGAAAAGAAGAACTCAAATTGTCCCTGTTTGCACATGACATGATTGTGTATTTAGAAAACCCCACCGTCTCAGTCCAAATTCTCCTTAAGCTGGTAAGCAAATTCAGCAAAGTCTCAGGACATAAAATCAATGTGCAAAAATCACAAGCATTCTTATACACCAATAACAGACAAATAGAGAGCCAAATCATGAGTGAACTCCCATTCACAATTGCTACAAAGAGAATAAAATACCTAGGAATCCAACTTACAAGGGATGTGAAGGACCTCTTCAAGGAGAACTACAAACCACTGCTCAACAAAATAAAAGAGAACATAAACAAATGGAAGAACATTTATTCCATGCTCATGGATAGGAAGAATCAATATCATGAAAATGGCCATACTGCCCAAGGTAATTTATAGATTCAATGCCATCCCTATCAAGCTACCATGACTTTCTTCACAGAATTGGAAATAACTACTTTAAAGTTCATATGGAACCAAAAAAGAGCCCACATTGCCAAGTCAATCCTAAGCCAAAAGAACAAAGCTGGAGGCATCATGCTACCTGACTTCAAACTATACTACAAGGCTACAGTAACCAAACCAGCATGGTACTGGTATCAAAACAGAGATATAGACCACTGGAACAGAACAGAGCCCTCAGAAATAATGCCACACATCTACAACCATCTGATCTTTGACAAACCTGACAAAAACAAGCAATGGGGAAAGGATTCCCTATTTAATAAATGGTGCTGGGAAAACTGGCTAGCCAAATGTAGAAAGCTGAAACTGGATCCGTTCCTTACACCTTATACAAAAATTAATTCAAGATGGATTAAAGACTTACATGTTAGACCTAAAACCATAAAAACCCTAGAAGAAAACCTAGGCAATACCATTCAGGACATAGGCATGGGCAAGGACTTCATGTCTAAAACACCAAAAGCAATGGCAACATAAGCAAAATTGACAAATGGGATCTAATTAAACTAAAGAGCTTCTGCACAGCAAAAGAAACTACCATCAGAGTGAACAGGCAACCTACAGAATGGGAGAAAATTTTTGCAATCTACTCATCTGACAAAGGGCTAATATCCAGAATCTACAAAGCACTCAAACAAATTTACAAGAAAAAAACAACCCCATCAAAAAGTGGGTGAAGGATATGAACAGACACTTCTCAGAAGAAGACATTTATGCAGCAAATAGATACATGAAAAAATGCTCATCATCACTGGCCATCAGAGAAATGCAAATCAAAACCACAATGAGATACCATCTCACACCAGTTAGAATGGCAATCATTAAAAAGTCAGGAAATAACAGGTGCTGGAGAGGATGTGGAGAAATAGGAACACTTTTACACTGTTGGTGGGACTGTAAACTAGTTCAACTGTTGTGGAAGACAGTGTGGCGATTCCTCAGGGATCTAGAACTAGAAATACCATGTGACCCAGCCATCCCATTACTGGGTATATACCCAAAGGATTATAAGTCATGCTGCTATAAAGACACATGGCACACATATGTTTATTGCGGCACTATTCACAATAGCAAAGACTTGGAACCAACCCAAATGTCCATCAATGATAGACTGGATTAAGAAAATGTGGTACATATACACCATGGAATACTATGCAGCCATAAAAAAGGATGAGTTCACGTCCTTTGTAGGGACATGAATGAAGTTGGAAACCATCATTCTCAGCAAACCATCCCAAGTACAAAAAAACAAACACCGCATGTTCTCACTCATAGGTGGGAATTGAACAATGAGAACACTTGGACACAGGAAGGGAACATCACACACTGGGGCCTGTTGTGGGGTGGGGTGAGAGGGGAGGGACAGCATTAGGAGATATACCTAATGTAAATGACGAGTTAATGAGTGCAGCACACCAACATGGCACATGTACACATATGTAACAAATCTGCACTTTGTGCACATGCACCCTAGAACTTAAAGTATAAGAAGAAAAAAAAAAAAGAAAAGTTAGTAGCAAGACCAGAAAGTCTTGCTTAGAGATTCATAACTTTCTCAAAATTTTTTTCTCCCATGGCATCTCTCTGCCATGTTCACACAATAGCTCACTTGGTTCATTCAAGCCCAGTAACAAGTTTTACTACAATGGCAGTAAAATACTGGAGTATGTACTATACAGTTAAAGTAAATTACAGAGTACCTATCATTGTTCCATTAGCTTGACACAGATTCAGAGTATGAATTAGTCAGTTTAGGTTCTGCACTTTCAATCTCTGATGCAGTAAGCCCCTCATCTAGCTCTGACTACTCTTGGTTTAAACATTGTTTTATATCATATATTCTTAATAAAACTCATTACAGTTTTATTTCTGTACTTTGTCCACAGAAATTCTGTATCTGCTCATTTATCCAATTAAGACATATAATACACTACTCTGAGTATCAATATTGACTAGATAAGCCTGGGTTTTCCTTAGCCTAATTTTTCTTGCTCTATTATTCTGTCTTCCTTTCTAACAGTATTGAGGCTAAAATTCTTAATTCTTATTTACCATCAACTCCTTTCAGTATCAGCAGCTCAAATGGGTGAGTCATAATAAAAATCTGCCAGGCACATCAACATACATAGCATTCACTCAACACACATCTTATTCTAATAATTTTTATTTGGAACATGTATTAAAATGACATGTATACAATTTTAATAACCATCAGACTAGTCTGGAGTAGTTATCAAATGACAGTGATTTTTTGAGGAGGAGTTTTTTTTTTTTTTTGAGACGGAGTCTTGCTCTGTTGCCCACGCTGGAGTGTGGTGGGGCGATCTCTGCTCACTGCAAGCTCTGCCTCTGGGTTCATGCCATTCTCCTGCCTTGGCCTCCTGAGTAGCTGGGACTACAGGTGCCCGCCACCACGCCTGGCTAATTTTTTGTACTTTTAGTGGAGACGGGGTTTCACCGTGTTAGCCAGGATGGTCTCGATCTCCTGACCTCATGATCCGCCCACCTCGGCCTCCCAAAGTGCTGGGATTACAGGCGTGAGAAACTGTGCCTGGCCGAAGAGATTTTTGTAAAAACACAAAAAAAATTTCTGATATACTTCCTATTCAATGTTGCACCATTAACAATTCAACTCCTTGTAGGACCATCTAGTATACCTGAATCAATGAAAAGTAGTGAACATTTATGCCAAGAGTCTGAGACAGAAAAGAGGCACCTAGCTTAAAAAAAAAAAATACTCACCTACAATGTACATACTAAATGAATACTGCAATCAGACAGGAACTCAGAATAAAATATTTCCCATCATAACAACACAAGAATATGAATATATATATATGAACATATATATATATGAACATATATATATGAACATATATATATATATATATATATATATATATATATATATATATATATATATTTCCACATTGGGCATTTCTTTCTCTAAAAGATTTTACCTAATGAGAAATATATCTTTAAAATATGAATTCAAGTCATCAATAGTATATCCTGACAGTTCTTAATAAAGAAAAAATTCCTTAGAAAGCCAAGCAGGCAGGAGTAAAAACAAACTCTTTCTCCATGAATGCTGACATTCTTACATACTAGACTAATCCAAGAGGATAATGGCAGGTTAGGAGAATGATGCTATATTAAGATATTTCCGGCTGTTTTAAGACAGGTACACTGAGAATTATTTTGTCCTTCCAATGAAGTAGTCTGAGATGAATTTTTTTTTTAGAATACTAAAATTAAATATAGAATTTAGTGGTAGGTTAAATGATGAATGTTATTCTACATTCCAGGAAGAAGCAACAAGTTTTTCCAAAACATGGCAATTGATTATTATAATCCATTATTCAAGTGTAGTTCTTCAAATCTTTTATATAATTGGAGTTCATATGAGCAAATATTTTCATCATATTGCTGCATTAAACAGACATACATTCTTATTTTACTAAAACATATCTTACAAATAATACAATAATAATTTTTTTTTTGAGATGGAGCCTCGCTCTGTCGCCCAGGCTGGAGTGCAGTGGTGCAATCTCAGCTCACTGAAACCTCCGCCACCCGGGTTCGAGAGATTCTCCTGCCTCAGCCTCCCAAGTAGCTGGGACTACAGGCACATGCCACCACGCCTAGCTAATTTTTGTATTTTTTGTAGGGACGGGGTTTCACCATGTTGGCCAGGATGGTCTTGATCTCCTGACCTTGTGATCTACCCACCTCAGCCTCCCAAAGTTCTGGGATTACAGGCATGAGCCACCACGCCTGGCCAGTAATTTATTTTATTCATTCAAATAAGCAAAGTCTTTTGAGGAAATTGTAAAGTTTCCACCCATATCCATAAGGATAGTAGAACTCTTAATGCAATTAAATGTTATTCACTAGGTATATTTACATCCTAACAGAATAATTACATTGTTGGTTAAATTTTCACAGGACTCAAAGGACAACTGTCAATCTTCATAGTAGGGATAAAAATCAAGGAGGAGGAATATTTGCAATCCTTTTGAGTTAGAAAAAGAAAGATGGAGAAAAGAAAAAAATGGAGAGAGGTAGACTTGGAAATGCATTCTGAACTCACGACATCATATATAAACTTCAATATTCGATACATTTTCAGCACTCTCATATTTTTTAACATGACTAGTCAATCATTAAAGAATCAATAATCTTCAAGTTCAAGATATTCTTGTGTTTATTCCTCACAAAATTCTCAATGACTTATTAGTGACTCCCGTGGGAGGGTATATTACATGTGATCTGGGAGATGAATTTCCTATTAGGACATATTTAATTGTATGCATTATATGTATCATTATAGAAGGCACCTGGCAGTATTCAATTTTCTTTACTCTGCTTCGCAGGCTTAACTAGTTTTAATTATTTTTTTTTAATAAACAGTGATCTTATTGGGAAGGTATGTTCATAGATAGTATGCATATTTACCAGTAAATATAAAAGTGTAAAAAAAATTTATGAAATAGAAAGTGACATTATTGTAGAGTATATGTATTAGAAAGATATGCCAATAAAGAATGGGACTGACTGATGAGCAAAAAAATTAAAAACTGAAATCTATCAAACTCTCCAAAATTCTTGTGCCATATGTAAAACATCAGAAATATATCTAACATATTCAAATGTATATTGTTATAACAAATAACTACTTTATATTTCTAATTATAATTACAAATAATTACTATAAACAATATATTCAAAAAACTTCAAATTGTTGTAAACAAATTCAATCTCTCTTTCCCAAGGAAATCAACTACTAATCATCTTTCTTGGCTAGTAGCTACTGCCACATTGGCAAGATATCATCAGCCATCAGGATTCCTCCTTGAAAATCAATCATTAATCATGACATCATTCCTTCTAAAATCTATTCTATTTCTGAACTGTTCTGTCAGACTTCAATATGTGTAAAACGCATTATTAGAAAAGAAAAAATTGTTGTACCTTAAATAAGTTTTCACATAAAACTCTTTTGAGAAAAGGAACACTAATAATAAAGTTTTAATTTATACTTAATACTGAAAGCACAATACTCACAAAGAAGGATCTTGTACGAGATCTTTGAGATTTATCCCACTGCGGTCTTCTGCAAGATTCCTGAAGCAACTATCACTCACTAAATAGAAATGGGGAAAAGAAAAAAAAATTAATTTTTGTCTACATTTCATTTAAGCTATTGCTGACCAAAAGACATTTTGAAATGAAAAATAGCTTTTTTTTTTTCATTTTTCCCCAAACATTACTATTGATTTATTTATAGGCCTGGTGAATTTAGCAACAAATATTAATATTCTAAACAAGCCAACATTTCAATAACAATCCACTACTTTAAGCACACCAACTCTATATAAATACATTACATAAAATAATAAACATGTCGGTCTAAATGTTGTTCTTACTGTTACAAGATTAATTTACTAGTACACAGTAGCAAGTCACTGCCCCCACAACAACTAGGAAAAAAAGAGACAAACTACAAAATCATATTTTTAAAAATATTGGCGAGCAAGGGAAATAGAAAGGAGAAACTAAATTTGCAGGATGATTAATATCTCTTAAGTCAGCTAATCCTGCTGATTATTTTAATTTCTGGAAGGATTTGCCAGTTAGACAGACTAGCTAAGAAAGAAGGACACTACTAAGGAAAAGAAAAAACAGCACAGCTCTTGATAATTTGTAAGCTGGCATGAAAAACTGGAATCTGATGAAGTCCAAAATTACAGACAGTTTTCTCCCTGAAAAATTTGCTGAGTGCCAGAATTACCTAAGAGGATTTGGGGCAGCAGTTGGGAGAACAGGCCATGGGGCAAATAATAATCCCTGTAATGTTGTGGTGATTAGAAGACAAAGTCACACTAGAACAGATGTAGCCTACCACTGTGAGGATAAAATTTTAATAGGTCTTCCCACAAGATATTTGCTCTCAACCAAAAGCATCCCCTTAGTGGGTGGGGAGCCAGAGGAAATGAGTAAAAGGAGCAGGACCAGAAAGGTAGAGTAAAATCTCCAACAATTTTACAGTATATAAATACAAAGTCACCAGACAGAAGAGTCTGCAACACAACAGTTGTTGTCATTAGGACATTTAAAATCAAAGGCATTCTAAGTGTATCGAAAGCTGCCACCCAGACTTGATGCAGTAAGATTCATAATTGAGTTGAGGTGATTAGCACTTGATCTTATCTTTCTAATACAGAATTGAAGAAAAATAATATTTAGTTCAATTTCTGCTGCTCTATTATAAACAATATTTGGTATATGATGAAAATTACAAGGTATGGAAAGGGGCACAAAATGTGACTAACAATCAAGGGAAAAGAGAATAAATATAAACAGACCCACAGATGATATAGAGTTAGAAGACAAGGACTTTAAAAAAGATCTTCAAAGTAGATGAAAAAAGGAAAACTTCAACAAAGAATGAAAATCTATTTTAAAAATTAAATAGTGATTTTATATCTGAAAAACACACTATCTGCAATTAAGCAGTTGGTGGGTGGGTTTTATAACTGACTGAATACAGCAAAGCACAGATTAGTGAATTTGAATATAGGTCAGCAGGAAATATCCACACTGAAGCACAGCAAGAAAGAAATGAAATGAACAGAGCATAAGAGATATGTGGGAATTAAACACTTCAACACAAATATAATTCCAGTTAGAATAAAGCAGACAGAAAGTGAGGAGAAACAATACTTTCAGAAAAAGTTAAAAATTGCTGAGACTAGCCCAAAACTGATACAATATATTAATGTTCTGACTTAAGAAGTATGGCAAACACCACACTGGCAAAGGTGAAAAAAACCACAACCAACACTCAAAATGCTGAAAATCAAAGATAACAAGAACACTTTAACAACAGTCAGAGGGAGAAAAAAGACATATCACTTTCAAAAGAAAAACAAGAAAACTTAAAGCTGAATTTTTAACAGAAACTATCAAATCCAGAAGACAATGGGACAATATGTTTAAAATACTTGAGATAAATTGAATCCAAAAGTTTGTACCTTGATAAAATATCCATCTAAAAATGAAGGCACCCATGTGTGCCACCTGTGAACTCAAAGACTGGCTCAACCAGGGCCTGCTACAACTACAGTCAATGTGTAAACAGGGAGACTTCGGGCCTGAGGGCTGGCCCACCTAGTGCGTACCACAAATGATGACCTCATGAACTCCAGTGGTAAGGCCACCATGTGCCTCCAATCACCACCCAGGAGCCCAAGAACAACCCACTGCTAACACTGCCAGTGCCTGTGCACAACCCTTAGGAGCCAAAGAACAAGCCCACCAAATATCCATGTTGCCAGGAAAGTCTTGTCGCTGACTCCATGAACAACCTCACCTGAACGCCCTAGGGAAACTGCAGACACTGTTAACATTATTTACAGCCAAAGTAACCATACAGAGACTACACTAATGCAACCACCTGAACCAAAGCCAAAACACTCTACCCAAATGACACTATAGATATGTCTACAGAAAAAAGTTTACCTAAAAAAGCTAATCCAGAAAACTGAAAGACGAAATTGCTAACCATATACACAGTTATCAATGTAGGGATGCAAGACACATGAAAAAGGAAATATGACACTGCCATAGAAACACAATAATTCTCCAATAACAGAGCCCCAAAAGAAAATCTATGAAATACCTTAACAAATTTAAATAATAATCTTTTAAAACTTAGTAGATACAAAAGAACACAGATAGAAAATATACATAAATCAGAAAAAAAAAACAACTGGTGATCTAAATGAGAAATTAAATAGAATGTCATAAAAAACAACTAAACAGAAATCCCGGAACTCAAGAATTCAATGATTAAAATTAAAAAAATACAATTGAAAGCTTCAACAATCGACTAGATCAAGCAGAAGATAATTTTAGTACTTGAAGATAGGTTTTTAAAAATAACCCAGACAAAAGGAAAAAAAAATTTAAAAAAGAATGAATAAACCTACATGACATGGGAAACCATCAAGTAAATAAATATTCACATTTTGTGAATTATAGAAGGAAATGAGTGTAGAAAAGGCATAGAAAACTTATTTCGTAAAATAATGGCTGACAACTTCCCAAATCTTGAGAGACAGACATCAAGATCTGGAAAGGTCAAATGTCCCCAAAATACTCAACCCAAAAATGTCATCCCTGAGACATATATCTCTCAAACTGCCAAGAGTCAAAGACAAAGAAATAATTCTAAAAACAGCAAAAGGCATCAAGTTACATATAAGGGAATCCCCTTCAGACTAACAGTAAATTTCTCAGCAGAACCATTATAAGCCAAGAGAGAAAAAAAATGGTTTAAGCAAAGTACTAAAACAAAAAATACCTACTGATTAATAACACTATACCCAACAAAGTTATCCTTCAAAAATGTGTGTCCAAATGGATCTAAAGATGGCTTACAGAACATATTTGGTCCAACTGCAGCTGTTGGACCAAATATGGCCTGTAAACCATTTTAGATCCATTTTTTGACATCAGCACATAGAACATTCTACAAGACAGACCACATGTTAGGCCACAAGACTGGCCTCAAGAAATTTTCAAAAATCAGTATTATATCAAGTGTCTTCTCAAACCATAATGGAGTAAAACTAGAAATTAGTAACAAGAGGAACTTTGGAAATTCTACAAATACATGAAAATCAAAAATTAATAAGATTAATCAAGAAAAAAAGAGAAAAGACCCTGAGAAACTTATGGTTCAATTAAGAAATTTAAAGACACCAAAGAAGTCTTGAAACAAATTAATATAGAAACAGCATACCAAAAACTTATAGTGTACTGAGAAACAGTACTAAAAGGGAAGTTTACAGCAATAAACACTTAAACCATTTGAACAATTTCACTTAATCAATCTGACAAAGCACCTCAAGAAACCAGAAAAGGAAGAACAAGCCAAACCTAAAATAAGAAGAAGGAAACATCAGAGCAGAAGTAAATAGAGACAAAAACCCACAAAGGATCACAAGAAACACTGGTTTTATCGAAAGATAAACTATATTTACAAACCAGTAGCTAGACTAATCAAGAAAAAAGGAAGACTCAAATAAGTAAAATCAGAAATAAAAAATGAGACATTACAACTGATACAACAGAAATACAAAGGACCACTAGAAATTATTATGAACAACTGCACACTAAGAAATTAGAAAACTTATATTAAATGGATACATTCCTGGACACATATAATCTCACAAATTAAATCAGGAAGAAATAGAAAACCTGAGCAGATCAATAATGAGTAACGAGATTAAACTGGCAATAAAAAAGTCTCCCAACAAAAAGCCCAGGACCAAAAAGCTTTAAAAGAAGAACATCTATTTTGCTGAAACTCTTCCAAAAAATTAAAAAGGTGGAAATTCTTCCTAATTCATTCTACGAGGTCAGTAGTACCCAGATACCAAAACTAAAGAAGGATGCAACAACAATCACAAAAAAAACTAGAGGTCAGTATCCATGATTAGCATAGATGCAAAAATCCTGAACAAAATACTAGGAATCTGAATCCAAAGGCACATCAAAAAAAAAAAAAAAATACACTACGATTGAGTGGAATTTATCCCAGGTATGCGAGGATGGTTCAACATATAAAAATCAATAGATGTGCTACATCACATCAACAGAATGATAGATGAAAAGCAAATCATATGATCATCTCAAATCCAAAGAAAGCATCTGATAAAATTCAACTCCCTTCATAATAAACACTCTAAAAAATTAAGTATAGAAAGATTATACCTAAACACAATAAAGTCCAAATATGAAAAACACTCAGACAATATCACACTGAATGGAGAAAAGCTAAAAGCCTTTAAGAACTAGAACAAGAAAAGAATGTATACTTTTACAACTTGTATTTAAGATAGAACTGGAATTCCTTGTAAGAAAAATTAGGCCACAAAAGGAAATAAAGTTCATCTAAATTAGAAAGGAGAAAGGCAAGTTGTCCCTCTTTGCAGATGACATAATCTTACATATAAAAAATCCTGAAGACTCTTCAAAAAACTCTAGGAAGAAAAATAATAGAAACTGGGGATTCCAAAAGAGGGGAGGTTGGGGTTGAAAAATTACCTATTGGGTACAATATTCACTAGTCAGATGATGACTAAACTAGAAACCCAAATCCCACCATTATGCTATATATATATATATGTGTGTGTAACAAACCTGCACATATCCCTCCTGAATCTATAAAAGGATAAAATATCTTTGAACTTCTAAACAAATTCAGTAAAGTTGCAGGATACAAAATCAACATGCAAGAATCAGTGATGTTTTTATAGAATAACCAACTAGCTGAAAAAAAAATCAGGAAAGCAAGCCCATTTGCAGTCAATACCTGCTAAAAAGAATAAAATATCTAAATGGTGTTGGAAAATTGGATATTTATATGCAGAAGAATGAAAGTACATCCTTCTCACCACAAAAATCAACTCAAAATGGATTAAAGATTTAAACCTGTGACCTGAAATTACAAAATAACTACAAGAAAACATATAAGAAATGCTTCAGGACATCTGTCTAAGCAAAGATTTTAAAGATTTCAAAGGCACAGGCAATAAAAACAAAAATAGACAAACGGAACTATACCAAACTAAAAAGCTTCTGTAGAGCAAAAAAAGAAGATCAACAGAGTAAAGAAATATAGTCTGTTGAATGAAAGAAAATATTTGCAAATTATTTACCTGACAAGGGAATAATGTCCAGAATATATATGGAACTCACACAACCCATCAAAAAATCTGATTAAAAACTGGAAAAAGGGGCCGGGAGCGGTGGTTCACACCTGTCATCCCAGCACTTTGGGAGGCCGAGGCGGGCAGATCATGAGGTCAAGAGATCGAGACCATCCTGGCCAACATGGGTGAAACCCCATCTCTACTAAAAATACAAAAATTAGCCGGGCGTGGTGGTACGTGCCTATAGTCCCCAGCTACTCAGGAGGCTGAGGCAGGAGAATCGCTTGAATTCGGGAGGCAGAGGTTGCAGTGAGCCGAGATCGTGCCATTCGACTTCAGCATGGGCAACAAGCGTAAAACTCCGTCAAAAAAAAAAAAAAAACTGGAAAAAGAATCTGAATAGACATCTCAAAAGAAGACAAACAAATAGCCAACAAATATATGAATGAATGCTCAACATCCCTAGTCATCAGGGAAACATAAATCAAAACTGCAATGAGATATCATCTCACCCCAGTCAGAATGGCTATTATAAAAGATCAAAGATAACATATGCTGGTGACGACGAAGAGAAACAGGAACTTATGCACTGTTTGTGGATATGTAAATTAGTACGGCCATTATGAAAAACAGTATGGAGGTTCCTCAAAAAGTAAAAATTTAATTACCATCTGATCCAGCAATCACAGGAATGGGCATTTATCAAAAAGCAAGGAAATCAATTATGTCAAAGGGATACTTACATTCCCATGTTTACTGAAGCATGATTCACAATATCCAAGATATGGAATCAAACTAAACATCCATCAACAGATGAATGGATAAAGAGAATGATGTGTCGTATATACATAATTGATTGCTATTCAGTCATAAAAAAGAGAGAGAGAATTAAATGCATTCATACACAGCAATATGGATCACCCTGGAGGACATTATGTTATGTGAAATAAGTCAGAGAGATAAATACTGCATGTTCTCATGCATATGTAGTATCCATTAAAAACAAAAAAAGAGGTCATAGACGTAGAGAGTAGAATTGTGGTTGCTAGAGGCTTAGAAGGGGAGTGGGTAGGGAAGGATGGGAAGAGGCTGGTTAATGAACACAAACTTAAAGGTAGATAATAGGAGTAAGGACCAGGCGCAGTGGCTCATGCCTGTAACCCAGCACTTTGGGAGGCTGAGGCGGGTGGATCACGAGATCAGGAGATCAATACCATCCTGGCTAACATGGTGAAACCCCGTCTCTACTAAAAATACAAAAAATTAGCCAGGAGTGGTGGTGGGCGTCTGTAGTCCCAGCTACTCGGGAGGCTGAGGCAGGAGAATGGCATGAACCCGGGAGGCAGAGGTTGCAGTGAGCCGAGATCGCACCACTGCACTCCAGCCTGGGGGACAGAGCGAGATTCCATCTCAAAAAAAAAAAAAGAAAAGAAAAATAGGAGTAAGCTCTAGTCTTTACAGCACTGTAGTATAAATATGGATGACTAGAATTTATTGTATATTTTCAAAAAACTAGAAGAGAAGCTTTTGAATGTTCACAGTAAAAAGAATTGTTAAGTGTTTGAGATTACGGATATGCGAAATACCCTGATTTTATAATTACACATTGTGTAAATGTATTGAAATATCACTCTGTAGACTATAAATATGTACAATTACTACATGTCAGCTAAAAATAAAGGAAAAAATGTGAAGGTGAAATAAAGACTTTCTCGGGCAGTAAAAAAATTGGCTAATTTGCTGCCAGGAGCCCTGACATACAAGAAATGTTAAAAGAATTTCTTCAGAAAGAAGAAAAATGATTATCAGTCAGAAACTGAGATCTTCTTAAATAAAGTGCGTTAGAGAAGAAATAAATGAAGGTAAAGTAAAAATTTTTCTTTTTCCTGATTTATCTAACATAATAGTTTGTTCAAAATAATAATAGCAACAATGTATATGATTATGTAGGCTTATATACACATGTATTCTTCTGCATGCTTTTATAAAGTTAAATGAATTCCAGTAAGCATACACTGCGTGGAAGAGAGGAATTAGGATTATTTTCTCACACTGCTTGTGAATATAGTGTTATTGGACTTCGTTTAGTTGAAACGTGTATTAAAAACTCTAGGATGACCATTAAAAAATAAAAACAGGCAGGGCGTGGTGGCTCACACCTGTATTTCCGGCACTTTGGGAGGCCGAGGTGGGCGGATCATGAGGTCAGGAGATCAAGACCATCCTGGTTAACACGGTGAAACCCCATCTCTACTAAAAATACAAAAAATTACCCGGGCGTGGTGGCACGCACTGGTAGTCCCAGCTACTAGGGAGGCTGAGGCAGGAGAATCGCTTGAACCCAGGAGGCGGAGGTTGCAGTGAGCAGAGATCGCGCCACTGTACTCCAGCCCGGGAGACAGAGCCAGACTCTGTCTCAAAAAAATAATAAAAATAAAAATTAAAAACAGAGGCCTAACTGATAATGCTATGACAAAAGAGAAATTCAAATTACATAAAATGTTCAATTAGAAACACAAAAGGTAGAAGAGTGGGAGACAAAACAAGAACAAAGGTCAAAGGCAACAAATAAAAAAGTTTAAAATATGGTAGATATTAATTCACCTACATCAATAACGATGTTGAATGTCAATGGTCCGAATGCACCAATTAAAAAACAGAGATTGTCAGGGTAGATTAAAAAAATAAGGTCCAATTATACATTTTCTACCAAAAAATCCACTTCAAATTTAAAAATACTTACAGATAAAAGTGAAAGGATGGAGAAAGAAATGCCATGCTAACACTGATCAAAAGAAAGTGAAGGTAGCGTATTAATTTCAGACAGAGCAGATTTCAAAGCAAGAAAAGTTTTCAGGAATAAAGAGGGGCAATATATTATGATAAAGGGATGAATTTTCCAAGAATACATAACAGTCCTTAGCATATATACACCTAACAACGGAACATTAAAATACATGAGGCAAAAACTGATAGAAGTGCAAGGAGTAATAGATGAAACCCCTGTTACAGTTGGAGACTAACAATCCTCTATCATAAATGAACAAATCTCACAAGAAAAAAATCAATAAGGATATAGCTGAATTCAACAGCACTAATAATCAATTTGATATACTCTCATCTATTGATGACTTCATCCAATAAAAGCAGAATAGACACTCTTCTCAAACTAACATGGAACATTCACCAAAAGGACCACGTTCACATCTTACCACAAAATTATAGTGTTGGCTCTCAGACCATAACGGAATTAAACTAGAAATCAATAACAGGAGAATAAAAGAAGTATCCCCAAATACCTATAGATTAAACAAAACACTTCTAAAGAACATGTCAAAAATAAATCTCAAAATATATTTAGAAATATTTTTATTTAAATAATGATACCATAATTTATCAAAATGTAAGGGAGGCAGTAAAAGCAGTGTTTAGAGGGAAATTTATAACATTGAATGCATATATTAGAAAAGAAGAAAGATTTAAAATTAATAATCTAAGCCTCCACCTTATCAAACTAGCTATATGACAGCAACTTAAATCCAAATTAAGCAGAAGCAAATAAATAACAAAAATTTGAGCAGAAATCAATGCAACTGAAAATGGGAAATCTAAAGAGAAAAATGAATGAAACCAAAAGGTGATTCTTTGATAAAATCAATACACCTCTCGCCAAGTTCACTGAAAGCACAAATCATGAATATCAGAAACAAAGAGGAAACATCACTGCAGATGTCATAGACATTAAAGGGATAATAAAGGAATATTATGAACAAGACATGAATCAAGAATCTGATAATCTTGATGGAATAAACCAATTCCTTAAAGACACCATCAAAGTTCACAAAAGAAGAAACAGTTTGAATCAATAATTAATAAAGCCTTTACATATACATTTAAAAATTCAAAAAGAGAAACTGATGTAAAGATTTCATGGTATTAATGTAATCAATCTAAAATTATAAGCCAAAACAATGATTATATGCAAAACTTATATTACGATAGTCATTTAACAACTGCAAACATTGTTTGAATTCTAAGTACTTTCAAGCTGTTTTATGCTGTTGAAAGTTAACACATTCTTTTTCTGACAAAAGTTAAAGAAGCAAAATCTCCTTTCCTGACAAACGGGCAGCAGATAAATTTTCAAATTACATTTCCAGCCAAATATTTTTGACCTCATGCAAACTGAAAGGAAATTTCCATAAGTCTATTTAACTCTACAACTGAGAACTTTCCACTTCTTATCTTCATTAAGTGATTAATCTGTAATGCAATGACACGCTCAAAGGCACGAAAACCTAACAGAATTCTAAAAATGTATTCCAAATGATTAATATGCCAAGTTAAATCAAGATAATGGATCAAGATTAGTATGTGCCAATAACAATTTTCATGAAAAGACATTTGCAAGGATAAAATACTCCATACAGATTAGCATTAACAGATGAACATGTGCAACTAATTTTGATGACAGGGAACACAAACTATAAACCCTACTAAACATAAACTCTAAACTGTTATTTCCACCATCTTTCATTCTTCATATTAGTAAACACAAATTATAAACATTGTACTCCATTACTATTAGTAAATTTTGATTTCATAAATCAAAAAAATCTGAGAAAATTTGTTTTCTTTCTTATAAGTACCTAGGTACAATTCTCAATTTTGCCTCTTGGCCCACAAAATCTAAAATATTTAACATATGGCCTCTTTTTATTTATTTATTTATTTTTTGAGATGGAGTGTTGCTCTGTCGCCCAGGCTAGAACGCAGTGGTGCGATCTCGGCTCACTGCAACCTCCACCGCCTAGGCTCAAATGATCCTTCTCCCTCAGCTTCCCAAGTAGCTGGGACCACAGGCGTTCGCCACCATGCCCAGCTAAATTTTTTTGTATTTTTGTTAAGACTGGGTTTCGCTGTTGCTCAGGCTGGTTTGAACTTCTAAGCTCAAGCAATCCACCCACCTCGGCCTCCCAAAGTGCTGGGATTACAGACATGAGCCACTGTACCTGGCAGAAAACGTTTACTAACCACTTTTTGACAAGAACCAGTAAAATTACGAGGCATTATAGAGAGCCAGTTAATATTGTAATTTCTGATACATGCATGAATATAGCATATGCCTATGGCTTTCCAGAGAGGATGCAAATTGATTTATGATCTCCTCCACTGCTTTATATTTCTGGTGAAAGCATATTAAAACTCAAGTTCTACATGAAATCTTCCAAACATCTTCAACCAACCCCACAAAGATACTCCTACCAATCCTAGCCAAAAGGGGTTCACTGGAGACCTACCAGGGAGCCAAAACTAACATGCCTACACAGCAGTAACATGGAAAACCTTCCGCCTTACCTACCAAGGAGGCCAAGTAAAAAACCCGACTCCCACCTCAACCTTGGAGCAAAGAGGTAGAGGGACTACTCTCAGATGAAGTGTCAGAATGAGACAGCTACACCAGATAATTTAAATAAAGACTACATTCTCATAAGACCCAAAATGTTCAGGTTTTATTAAAAAATAAGTTGTCATACAAAGAACCAGGAAGATCTCAAACTGAATGAAAAAAGGCTAATGACAGGTGCTAAGACCAAGGCAGCAGAGATGCTAGAGTTGCCTGAAAAAATTTTAGTCTTGTCATGATAAAAATTATTCAAAAAGGAATTATAAAAACACATGAAACAAATTTTATGAGCAAAAAGTCACAGCAAAGAAAAAGAATCTTAATCAAGAAGTAGAAGATACACAGGAAGACCAAATAGAAATTTTATACCTGAAAAACACAATAACTGAAATACAAAACTTAATGGATGTGCTCAATACTAGAATGAAAGAAACATGCGAAAACAATCAGCAAGCTAGGAGATAACACACTAGAAGTCATCCAATCTGGAAAAGAAGAAAACGGTTTGGAAAAAAAAATAAAGTCCCCAAGAATTGTCAAACAATAACAAAAGAACTAAAGTTAATATCATCTGAGTGTCAAAGAAGAGGGATAAAAGGATAGGATACATTTAAAAAAAAATAACAACTCAATATAGAGATTCAAGAGTTTAAAAAACCTGAAAGAGGGTACAGTTAATGAAATCCACACCAAGATTTATGATGGCCAAATATTCGAAAACTAAAGACAAAGGAAATATCTTTTTTTTTTTTTTTTTGAGACAGAGTTTCACTCTTGTTGCCCAGACTGGAGTGCAATGGCACGATCTCGGCTCACCACAACCTCCGCCTCCTGGGTTCAAGCGATTCTCCCGCCTCAGCCTCCTGAGTAGCTGGGATTACAGGCATGCGCCACCACGCCCAGCTAATTTTTGTGGTTTTAGTAGAGATGGGGTTTCTCCATGTTGGCCAGGCTGGCCTCGAACTCCCGACCTCAGCTGATCCACCCGTCTTGGCCTTGCAAAGTGCTGGGATTACAGGCGTGAGCCACCATGCCCGGCTGGAAATACCTTAAAAACAGCAGGAAAGGACCGGCCTAGCTAACATAGCCAAACCCTGCCTGTAATCCCTGCTACTCAGGAGGCTGAGGTAGGAGAATTGCTTGAACCTGGGAGGCAGAGGTTGCAGGGAGCCGAGATAACGCCATTGTACTCCAGCCTGGGCGACAGTGCGACACTCTGTCTCAAAAAAAGAAAAAAAAAAAAAACAGCAGGAAAGTGGGAAAGGTAATACAAATGACAATCAATTTCTTACCAGAAACCAGAAAGGCTAGAAGGAAGCACTTTTTCTTTTTTAAGTTCACGGGTACAAGTGCAGGATGTGAAGGTTTGTTACACAGGTAAACGTGTGTCATGGGGGTTTGTTGTAACAATTATTTCATTACCCAGGTATTAAGACTAGTATCCACTAGTTATTTTTCCTGATACTGTCCCTCGTCCCACCTTCTACCCTCAAGTAGGCCCTGGTGTGTGTTCTTCCTCTATACGTGTCCATGTATTCTCACCATTCAGTTCCCATTCCTAAGTAAGAACATGTAATATTTGGTTTTCTGCTCCTGTGTTACTTTGCTAAGGATAATGACTTCCAGCTCCATCCGTGTCCCTGCAAAGGACATATCTTCATTCTCTTTTGTGGCTGCCTTATATTCCATGGTGTATGTGTACCACATTTCTTTATCCAGTCTATCATTGATGGGCACTTGGGTTGATTCCATATGTTTGCTATTGTCATAAGTACTGCAATGAACATATGGGTGCATGTGTCTTTATAACAGAGCAACTTATATTCCTTTGGGTATATACCCAGTAATGGGATTGCTGGGTCAAATGCTATTTCTGATTTTAGGTCTTTGAGGAATTGCCACACTGTCTTCCACAATGGCTGAACTAATTTACACTCCTACCAAGAGTGTATAAGCCTTCCTTTTATCCACAACCTCACAAGCGTCTTGTTATTTTTCAGCTCTTTAATAATAGCCATTCTGACTGGTAGGATATGATATCTCACTGTGGTTTTGATTTGCATTTCTCTAATGATCAGTGATGTTGAGCTTTTCTAAATATGTTTGTTGGCTGTATGTACATCTTCTTTTGAGAAGTATCCACGTCCTTTGCACATGTCTTAATGGGGTGGTTTTTCTTCTAAATGTATTTAAGTTCCTTATAGATGCTAGATATTAGACCTTTGTCAGATGCATAGTTTGCAAAAATTTTCTGCCATTGTGTAGGTTGTCTATTTACTCTGTTGATAGTTTCTTTAGCTGTGCAGAAGCTTAGATCCCATTTGTCAATTTTTGGTTTGACTGTAATTGCTTTCGACACTTTTGTCATGAAATCTTTGCCAGTACCTAATGTCCTGAATGTAGTTGCCTAGGCTGTCTTCCAGGGTTTTTATAGTTTCGGGTTTTACACTTAAGTCTTTAATCCACCTTGAATTAATTCTTGTGTATGGTGTCAGGAAGGGTCTAGTTTCAATTTTCGACCTATGGCTAGCCAGTTATCCCAGCACCATTTATTGAATAGGGAATCCTTTCCCCATTGCTTGTTTTTGTCAGGTTTCTTCAAGATCAGATAGTTGTACATGTGCAGTCTTATTTTTGGATTCTCTATTCTGTTCCTTTGGTTATGTGTCTATTCTTGTACCACTACCATGCTATTTTGGTCACTGTAGCCCCATAGTATAGTTTGAAGTTGGGTAGTGTGATGCCTCCAGCTTTGTTTTTTAGGCTTACGATTGCTTGGGCTATTCAGGCTCTTTTTTGGTTCAGTACAAATTTTAAAATAGTTTTCTCTAGTTCTGTGAATGGTAGTTTACAGAACTAGATGTCAATGGTAGTTTAATCAGAATAGCAATGAATTTATAAATTGCTTTGGGCATTTTGGCCATTTTACCAATACTGATTCTTCCTATCCATGAGCATGGAATGTTTCTCCATTTCTTTGTGTAATTTCTGATTTGTTTGAGCAGTGATTTATAGTTCTCCTTGCAGAGATCTTTCGCTTTGTTGTTAGCTATATTCCTAGGTATTTTATTCTTTTTGTGGCAACTGAAAAGGGGAGTACGTTTATGATCTGGCTCTCACTTGTACTGTTGTTCATGTATAGGAATGCTAGTGATTTTTACACATTAATTGCGTATCCTGAGACTTTGCTAAAGTTGCTTATCAGCTTAAGAAGCTTTTGGGCTGAGACGACTGGGGTTTTCTAGATACAGAATCATGTCATCTGGAAACAGGGATAGGTTGACTTCCTCTCTTCTTATTTGAATGCCCTTTATTTCATTCTTTTGCCTGATTGCTCTGGCCAGAAATTCCAATACTATGTTGAACAGGAGCGGTGAGAGAGGGCGTCCTTGTCTTGTGCCGGTTTTCAAGGAGAATGCTTCCAGCTTTTACCCATTCAGTATGATGTTGGCTGTGAGTTTGTCTTCTATGGCTCTTATTAGTTTGAGGTATATTCATTTCTTCAGTATCTAGTTTGGTCAGAGTTTTTCAAGTAAAGGGATGTTGAATTTTATCAAAAATCTTTTCTGAATCTCTTGAGATAATCAAGTGGTTTTGGTCTTTAGTTCTGTTTATGTGATAAATCACATTTATTGATTTGCAATGATGAACCAAGTTTGCATCCCAGGGATAAAGCCTATTTAACTCTGGTGGACAAGCTTTTTTTTTTATTAAAAAATGTTTTTATTTAATCCAATACAGTAAGTTCATAATGTTATCATTTCAAAATGTAAACCATATAAAATTATTAATAAGATATTGTGCATTCTTT
Organism: Homo sapiens; assembly: GCF_000001405.40. Taxonomy (NCBI): domain Eukaryota; kingdom Metazoa; phylum Chordata; class Mammalia; order Primates; family Hominidae; genus Homo; species Homo sapiens. The sequence goes on along the minus strand of NC_000014.9, from coordinate 66,666,310 downwards.
TCCTTTTTTGGGTGGTTGGAAGATTCAATATTTATTAATATTTTATATATATATATTTTTATTATACTTTAAGTTCTAGGGTACATGTGCACAACGTGCAGGTTTGTTACATATGTATACGTGTGCCATGTTGCTGTGCTGCACCCATTAACTCGTCATTTACATTAGGTATATCTCCTAAGGCTATCCCTCCCCCCTCCCCCTACCCCACGACAGGCCCCGGTGTGTGATGTCCCCCTTCCTGTGTTCAAGTGTTGTTATTGTTCAATTCCCACCTATGAGTGAGAACATGCGGTGTTTGGTTTTTTGTCCTTGCGATAGTTTACTGAGAATGATGGTTTCCAGCTTCATCCATGCCCCTACAAAGGACGTGAACTCATCCTTTTTTATGGCTGCATAGTATTCCATGATGTACATGTGCCACATTTTCTCAATCCAGTCTATCACTGATGGACATTTGGGGAGGTTCCAAGTCTTTACTATTGTGAATAGTGCCACAATAAACATATGTGTGCCATGTGTCTTTATAGCAGCATGATTTATAATCCTTTGGGTATATACCCAGTAATGGGATGGCTGGGTCACATGGTATTTCTAGTTCTAGATCCCTGAGGAATCGCCACACTGTCTTCCACAATGGTTGAACTAGTCTACAGTCCCACCAACAGTGTAAAAGTGTTCCTATTTCTCCACATCCCCTCCAGCACTTGTTGTTTCCTGACTCTTTAATGATCGCCATTCTAACTGGTGTGAGATGGTATCTCATTGTGGTTTTGATTTGCATTTCTCTGATGGCCAGTGATGATGAGCATTTTTTCATGTGTCTGTTGGCTGCATAAATGTCTTCTTTTGAGAAGTGTCTGTTCATATCCTTCGCTCACTTGTTGATGGTGCTGTTTGTTTTCTTCTTGTAAATTTGTTTGAGTTCTTTGTAGATTCTGGATATTAGCCCTTTGTCAGATGAGTAGATTGCAAAAATTTTCTCCCATTCTGTAGGTTGCCTGTTCACTCAGTTTTTTGAGATAAAGCTCGATTTATCTTTTTGGATAAGCTGGATTCAGTTTGCTAGAATTTTGCAGAGGATTTTTGCATCAGTATTCATCAAGGATATTGGCCTGAAGTTTTCTTTTGTTTTTGTATCTCTGCAAAGTTTTGGTGTCAGGATGATGTTAGCCTCATAGAATGAGTTAGGGAGGAGTTTCTCCTCTTCAATTTGTTGGAATAGTTTCAGTAGGAATGGTACCAGCTCTTCTTTGTACATTTGGTAGAATTCAGCTGTGAAGCCGTCTGGTCCTGGGCTTTTTTTTTTTTTTTTTTTTTTGGTTGGTAGGCTATTTATTGCTGCCTCAATTTCAGAACTTGTTATTGGTCTGTTCAGGGATTCAATTTCTTCCTGGTTCACTTTTGGTAGGGTGTATATGTCCAGGAATTTATCCATTTATTCTAGATTTTCTAGTTGATACAGATAGAGGTGTTTATAATATTCTCTGATGGTTGCTTGTATTCCTGTGGGGACAATCGTAATATCCACCTTATCATTTCTGATTGTGTTTATTTGATTCTCTCTTCATGAGTCTATCTAGTGGCCTATTTTATTAATCTTTTCAAAAAAACAACTCCTGGATTTACTGATGTTTTTAATGGCTTTTCTTGTCTCTACCTCCTTCAGTTCAGCTCTGATTCTGGTTATTTCTTGTCTTCTTCTAGCTTTGGGATTTGTTTGATTTTGATTTTCTAGTTCTTTTCATTGTGACATTAGGTTGTTAACTTGAGATCTTGCTAGCTTTCTGATGTGGGCATTTACTGCTATAGATTTCCTTCTTAACACTACTTTAGCTGTGTCCCTGAGAATCTGGTACATTGTATCTTTGTCCTTATTAGTTTGAAAGAACTTGATTTCCATCTTAATTTCATTATTTACCCAAAAGTCATTCAGGGGCAGGTTATTTAATTTTCATGCAATCGTGTGGTTTTGAGTGAATTTCTTCAGACTTTAGTTCTAATTTGATTGTGCTCTGGTCCAAGAGACTGTTGGTTATGATTTCAGTTCTTTTGTATTTGCTGAGCTGAGCAGTGTTTTACTTCCGATTATGTGATCTTTTTTAGAGTAAGTGCCACATGGTGATGAGAAGAATGTATAGTCTGTTGTTTTTGAGTGGAGAGTTCTGTAGATATATATCAGGTCCATTTAATCCAGATCTGAGTTCAGATCCTGAATATCTTTGTTAATTTTCTGTCTCAGTCTGTCTAATATTGTCAGTGCGGTGTTAAAGTCTCCCACTATTATTGTGTGGGAGTCTAAGTCTCTTTGAAGGTCTCTAATAACTTGGTTTATGAATCTGGGTGCTCCAGTGTTGGGTGCATATATATTTACGATAGCTAGTTCTTCTTGTTGAATTGAACCCTTTACCATTATGTAATGCCCTTCTTCTTTGTCTTTATTGATCTTTGTTGGTTAAAGTCTGTTTTGTCAGAACAGGATTGCAACCCCTGCTTTTTTCTGTTTTCCATTTGCTTTGTAAATTTTCCTCCATCCTTTTTTGAGCCTATGTGTGTCATTCCACATGAGATGGGTCTCTTGAAGACAGCAGACCATTGGGTCTTGTTTCTTTATCCAGCTGGCCACTCTGTGTCTTTTAATTGGGGCATTTATCCCATTTTCATTTGAGGTTAGTATTGTTATGTGCAGATTTGATCCTGTCATTATGATGTTAGCTGGTTATTTTGGAGACTTGTTTAAAATAACTTGTGGTTACTTTATAGTGTCATTTGTCTGTGTACTCCAGTGTGCTTTTGTAGTGGCTGGTAACGATTTTTCCTTTCCATATTTAGTGCTTCTTTTGGGAGCTATTGTAAGGCAGGTGTGGTGGTAACAAATTTCCTCAACATTTGCTTGTCTGGAAAGTATCTTATTTCTCCTTTGCTTATGAAGCTTAGATTGGGCACATATGAAATTCTGGGCTGGAATTTTTCTTTTTTCAGCATGTTGAATATTGGCCTCCAATCTCTTCTGACATGTAGGGTTTCCGCTGAGAGGTCTGCTGTTAGTCAGATGGTCTTCCCTTTGTAGGTTGCCTGGCCTTTCTCTCTGGCTGTCCTTAACATTTTTTCTTTCATTTTGACCTTGGAGAATCTGATGATTATGTGTCTTGGGGATGATCTTCTTGTGGAATATTTTACAGGGGTTCTCCCATTTCCTGAAATCGAATGTTGGTCTGTCTAGCTAGGTTGGGGAAGTCCTCATGGAAGATATCCTGAAATATATTTTCCAAGTTGGTTCCATTCTTCTCATCTCTTTCAGGTACACCAATCAGTCATATATTCAGTCTCTTTACATAATCTCATATTTCTCAGAGGTTTTGTCCATTCTTTTTCATTCTTTTTTCTCTATTCCTGTATGCCTGTCTTATTTCAGAAAGACAGTCTTCAAGCTCTGGGATTCTTTCCTCCACTTGGTCTATTCTGCTATTAATACTTGGAATTACATTATGAACTTCTTCTGTTGTTTTCTTCAGCGCTATCAGGTTGCTTACGTTATTCTCCATACTGGCTATTTTACCTTGTCAGTTGCTGAAATGTTTTATCATGATCTGTAGCTTCCTGCATTGAGTTAGAAGGTGCAGCTGTAGCAGAATGAACATCAATTTTATCCACATTCCGAAGTCTACTTCTGTCATTTCGGCCATCTCAGCCTCTGCCCAATTCCAAACCCTTGCTGGAGAGGTGATGTGGTCATCTGAACAGAAGAGGGCACTGTGGCTTTTTGAGTTTTCAGCGTTCTTGTGCTGATTCTTTATCTTTGTGGGCACATCTACCTTCAATCTTTGAGGCTGATCTTTGGATTTTTTTTTTTTCCTTTTTACAGTCTGGCCACTTTTCACAGGGCTGCTGTGGTTTGCTGGGCATCTGCTCTAGTCCCTAGTCGCCTTAGGTTTTCCAGTACCTGAGGGTATCACCAGTGAAGGCTGCAAAACTGCAAAGATGGCAGCCTGCCCCTTCCTCTGGGAGCTCTGTCCCAGAGGGGTACAGACCTGGTTGCTGGCCCAAACAACCAGGTGGTAGGTGGTGGCTGGAGACACTGGTTGGGAGGTGTCACCCAGTCAGGAAGAGTGGGATCAGGGATCTGCTTAAAGAAGCAGTCTAGCCACACTTTTATAAAGCAGCTGTGCTGTGTGGGTGTACCACTTCTGCCCCTAGTTAGCTTGGGCTCTCCAAAGTCTGTAAACTACGGAAGTTGCTGAGACAGAAAAAATGGCAGCCCACTCCTCCCTCTAGGAGCTCTGTCCCAGGAAGTTTTCAAACCTCTTAGCCACAGAACATCCATGGGAGTGACTGGAGGACACAGTTGGGAAGTCCCGCCCTGCAAGGAGGAATAGATCGGGGACTGCTTAAGGAAGCAGGATGGCCATGGTTTCATAGAGCAGCTGTGCCGTGCTGGGGTACTGCTTCTGCCCTGGTGGGCGTGGGCTCTCCAAAGCCCACAGGACAGAATGCTGAGTTGCCCAAACAGCAACGATGGCGCCCGCCCACCTCCCCCTCGAACTCAGTCCCAGGGTGAAATCAAAACATTGTGAACCAGAGAATACAAGTGAGGGTGGCTGGAGGGTCCAGTCGGGAGGTCCTGCTCAGAGATGAAGAACGGATCAGGGTTCTGCTTAAAGAAGTAGTCGGCCATGTTGTATTAGAGCAGCTGTGTTGTGTTGGGGGATCCCTTCTGCCCTGGTCGGTTTGGACTCTCCAAAGCCCACAGGCTGGAAAGGTTGAGCTGTCCAAACAGCAGAGATGGTAGCCTGCCCCTCCCCGCAGGCACTCAGTCCCAAAGAGAAATCAAAACTCTGTCAGTTGGGAGGTAACACCCAAGAAGAGGATTTGGATTGAGGGTCCCTCTTAAAGAAGCAGTCTGGCCACATTTTGGTAGAGCAGCTTTGCTGTGCTAGGTGATCCCTTCCATGCCCAGTTGGTTTGGACTCGCCTAAGCCCACAGGCTGGAATGGCTGAGTTATCCAAGCAGCAAAGATGGTAGTCTGCCCCTCCCGCCAGCAACTCTGTTTTGTCCCAGGTAGGTACAACTCTGTTGCTGGGGGCTGGCTGAAATTCCAAGCCAGTGGGTCTTATCCTGTGAGAAGCTGTGGAAATGGGGCCCACAGATCAATGCTTCTTAGCCCCCTGGATTCAGATCCCTTCCTAGGGGTAAATATGGATGTCCAAGCTCCCGCCCTGCCTAAGTTGCAATCACCTTTGTTAGGGATACTAGAGCCAGAGTATGTAAAGTTCCCGGGTCTCCATGCATGCCTGAGCAGCTTTTCTGTTGAGACTATACACAGTTCTGTGTGTCAGACCGAAGGCCCTGGTGGAATGGATTCACAAGGGGATCTCCTGACCGGACTTGTAAAGATCTGTGGGAGGGGCATGGTTTCCCAGGGTCACATATTCACTCACTGCTTCCCTGGGCAGGGGTAGGTTCTCTTGTATCCATGTTGCTCCCAGGTAAGCTGTTGCCCTGCCCTGCCCTGTCCTGCTCTTCTCCATTCTCTGTGGGTTGAGTTGTTTCCCTGATCAGTCCCAATGCAAGTACCTGGATGTTTCAGTTAAAGGTGCTGCATTTACTCGTCCCTTTCGTTCCTCTCTGTAAGAGCCACACACCATAGCTGCTTTTAGTTGGCCATCTTGGCGCCCCACTGGAAGTACTTTTTGAAGTGCTTAAATAAAAGAACTGTGAACCCACATCCTATATCCAGTAAAAATACTCTTCAGACATGAAAAAAAAAATTACGACATTCTTTGATGAAGAAAAACTAAGAAAACTTTTTACCAGCATACCAACCCTAATATAATGGTCAATGAAAGATTTCTAAACATAAAGTAAGCAAAAAAATAAGAACTCTTGGAACATCAGGAAGAAAAACATTATAATAGTAGGCAAATATATGGGTAAATACAACAGACAAAATTCTCATCTTGGGCTTTTATGTTTGAATGCTGAAGCAAAAACTGTAACATTGTCTAATGTGAGTCTATATGTATGTACAAAATATTTCAGGAAACTATTATAGACTCTCACAGACTCACTGTCTAATGTGAGTCTATATGTACGTACAAGAAATATTTCAGGCAATTGTATTGAGAGGGTAATGAGATATAAATTTAAGTTTCCTACACTTCACATGAATTGATAAAATTGATAAAATTTTATACACACACACACACATACACTAGAGTAACCAATAAACAACCACTAGAAAAGAGATATCATTAAAAATATTTATAAATAAAAATGAAACTCCTAAAAATATTCAAATAACTCCCAAGAAGAAAGGAAAAAGGAAAAAGAGAAACAAGTGAGAACAAACAAAATACAAGAAATACAGTGGGAGACTTAAGCTCCTACAGATAATTAATTATATAAATGTAAATGGTGTAAATACACCAACTGAAAGAGATTAGCAGAGTGAATTTAAAGGCAGACTCAAAAATATGCTCTCCATCTGAAACTCACTAAAAATATAAAGATACAAGAATGTTGACTATAAAAACATGGAAAAAGATCTACCAAGTAGACATAAGAAAGCAGGAGTGGCTGTATTAATACCAGGTAAAGTAGGCTTCAAAAGAAAAGAAATTACCAGAGACAGAGAGGCACAATACATAATGATAAAAAAATTAATCCATCGGGAAGACAAAACAATCCTAAAGGTGTATATAACAAACAACAAAGCTGCAAAACATGTGATGCAAAACTGATATACCTGAAAAAATGAAAGAAAAGACATAAACATAGTTGGAGACATCAAGAAGCCTCACAAAATTAGAAAGAACTAGTTATATAATCAACAAAGATACAGAAGAACTCAACAGTATCAACCACCAGGACATAACTGACATTTAAAGAACACTCTAGTCAAAACCAGCAAATACATGCCTGCAGAACTTATTTCAATATAGACCATGTTCTGTATCTTAAAAGAAAAATCAATTATTGTAAAATAATTGAAATAATACCCAAAATATTATTTGACCAGAATGGAAACAACAGAAACATACCAGACAAGGCACAGATTTGAAATCTAAACAAGAGACTTCTAAATAATCCATGAAACAAAAAGCACATCTCAAGAGAAATTAAACGCGTGCACACAAACACACACACACACTCTGTAAACTGAAAAAAAATATGAAAATAAGATATATCAAAAATTTTGGAATAGAGGAAAAGTAGTGCTATACGGACAATATAGCAATAAGTGCATTTTTTTGAAAACAGTAAAAGTCTCAAATCAATAATATAAGCATAAAATCTAGAAATTGACAAGCATAATAAAACTAAATCAAGCAGAAAGAAGGAAATAATAAAGAGCACAAACCAATAACATTAAAAACAGCAAAATAATAAAACAATGAAACAAAAAGCTGGATCTTAAAAAAAAAAAGCTGCCTCTAAGACTGACAAAGAGAAAAACAGAAAAGAAACAAATTACAAGCACACCTTGGAGGTACTGCATGTTCAGTACTAGGCCACCACAATACAATGAATATTATGACAAAATAAGTCTCACAACTTTTTGGTTTTCCAGTGCATATATAAAGTTATGTTTATGCTATACTACAGTTTATTAAATGTACAATAGGATTACGTTTTCAAAATGTACATACCTTGATTTTAAAAGATCTTATTGCAAAAAATGCTAATGACCATCTAACCCTTCAATGAGATGTAAAGTTTTTGTTAGTGGAGGGTCCTACTTTGATGCTGATGGCTGCTAACTCATCATGGTGGTGGTTGCAACAGAAAGATAACAATGAAGTTGCCCCACAGGTTGACTCTTCCTTTGACAAAATACTTCTCTGTACCATGTAATGCTATTTAATAGCATTTTATTCACAGAATTTTTTTCAAAATTGGAAGAGTCAATCCTCACAGATCCTGCCACTGTTTTATCAAGTAAGTTTATGTCATATTCTAAATCCTTTTTTGTCATTCCAATAATATTCACAGCATCTTCACCAGGAGTAGATTCCACCTCAAGGAACACCTTTCTTTGATTATCCATAAGAAAAAGCTCCTCATCTGTGAAAATTTTATCATGAGATTGCAGAAATTCAGTCACATCTTCCGGCTCTCCTTCTAATTCTATTTCTCTTGCTATTTTTACCACATCTGCAGCTACTTTCCACCAATGAAGTCATAAACCCCTCGAACTGATCCATAAAGGGTCGAATCAATTTCTAAAGTTTTATTAATGCTGGTATTTTGAACTCCCTCCATGAATCATTAATGTTATGAATGGCATCTAGAATGGTGAGCCTTTCCAAAATGTTTTCAAATTACTTTGCCCAGGTCTATCACAGCAATCCCTATCTATGGCAGCTATAGCCTGACAAAATGTATTTCTTAAATAATAAGACTTGAAACTCAAAATTACTCCCTAATCCATAGGCTGCAGAATGGATGTTGTGTTAGCAGCCATGAAAACAACATTATTCTCTTTGTACATTTTCATCAGAGCTCTTGGCTGACGAGGGGCACTGTCAGTGAGCAGCAGTATTTTTTTTAATCTATTTTTCTGAGCAGTAGGTCTCAACAGTGGACTTAAAGTATTTAGTAAATCATGCTGTAAACAGATGTATTGTGATTTAGCTTTGTTGTTTCATTTATAGAGCATAGGAAGAGTAAATTCAGCATAATTCTTAAGGGACCTATGATTTACAAAATGGTAAATGAGCAATGGCTTCAATTTAAAGTTACCAGCTGCATTAGCCACTAACTCATGAGTCAGCCTAAGCTTTGAAGCCAGGCATTGATATCTTATCTCTAGCTATGAAAGTCTTAGATGGCATCTTCTTACAGCAGAAGGCTATTTCATCTATATTGATAACCTGTTGTTGAGTGTAGCCACTAAAGATTCATCAATGATTTTAGCTAGATTATGGATGACTTGCTGCAACTTTTAAATCACCACTTGCAGCTTTACCTTGTACTTTTATGTTACAGAGATGACTTATTTCCTCAAACCTCAGGAAGCAACCTCTGCTAGCTTCCAACTTTTCTTGTGCAACTTCTGCACCTCACTTAGCCTTTGTAGGGCTGAAGAGAATTCGGGCCTTGCCCTGGATTAGGTTTTGGCTGAAGAAAATTTTGTGGCTAGTCCAATCTAGCCAGACTGCTAAAATTATCTCTTTATTAGCAATTAAGCTGTTTTACTTTCTTATCATTCATGTGTTATCTGAAACAGCACTTTTACCTTTTTTCAAAAACTTTTAGTTTCCATTCACACCTTGGCTAAGTGTTTGGTGCGAGAGGCCTAGCTTTTGACCTGTTTTGGCTTGTGACATGCCTTTCTCAGTAAATTTGCTCACTTTTAGCTTTTCACTTAAAGTGAGAGATATGTAGCTCTTCCTTTCACTTTAACACTTAAAGGGCACTGTAGGGTAATTATTTGGCCTAATTTCAGTATTGATGTGTCTCAGTGAATAAGAAAACCCATGGAGAGAGAAAGAGATGGGGAAATGGTCATTAAGTGGAACAAACAGAACACACACAACATTTATTGATTAAGTTCACCATGTTCTATGGATGTGGTTCATGGTAAGCCAAAACAATTGTATGAGTAACATCAAACATCACTGATCAGAGATCACCATCATAGATACAGTCATTATTAAAAAGTTTAAAATATTGTGAGAATTACCAAAATGTGACACAGAGACAAAATGAAAACATGCTGTTGAAAAAATGGCACTGACAGACTCGCTTGATGCAGGATTGCCATAAACCTTTGATATGTAAAAAGCACAATCTTTGAGCAGAGTCAAAATGTAAAGCCCAATAAAATAAAGTACACCTATTCCCACATCACGAAAGAAACAGGAGAGATATCACTACCGACTCTGTAGGAATCAAAAGGATAGTAAGGAAATACTACAAACCACTCTACACACATCAGTTTGTTAACCTAAGAGACACAGGCAATTCCTCAAAAGAACAACAGGCTACCAAATACTCACCCAATGTGAAATCAGTAATTTGAATAGACCTACAACTATTAAGATCATTGGATTTGTATTTTAAAACTCCTCCAAAAACTGTCTAGGCAATAATTCTTTCACTGGAAAATCCAAACAAATACTCACAAAATTTACACCAATTCTAAACCATCTCTATCAGAAAATCAAAGGAGGGAATATCCAAATGGATATTATGAAGGGAATATTACGCAGATGCAAAAAGCAAACAAAGACAGTATAATAAAACAAAACCCAAAGACAAATATTTCTCATGTGAATATATATCCAAAAGATCCTTAACAAAATATTAGTAAAAGAATTCAGAATTACATATAAAAAGAACTATATATCGTGACTAAATGGTGCTTATTCCATGTATGCAAGGCTGGTTCAATATTCAAAAATCAATCAATGTAAAACATCATATTAACAGTTTGAAGAAACACAATCACATGATTATAGAATCAATGCGGGAAAGCATTTCACAAAATTCAACCAATTCATGATAAAAATTCTCAAAAAGATGAGAAGAAAAAGGAAATTCCTCAACTTGGTAAAAAATAGCATTGTTTAAAAATCTACTAACATCATTCTTAATGATAAAAAGACTGAATGCTTTCCCCAAAGACCAGGAACAAAAAAAAAAAGATATATGCTCTCACTACTCTTATTCAATGAAGTAAATAATATTTAGCAAGTGCAGTAAGGCAATAAAAGGAAATAAGAAGCAAACAGACTGGAAAGAAGGAGATAAACTGTCCCTATTTGCAAATGGCACATTTGTCAACATAGAAAATCCCAAGGAACCTAGAAAAAACTCCTAGAATAAGGGAGTTCTTCAAGGCCACAAGATACAAGACTGATATATGAAAATCAATTACATTTGTATATATTAGCCATGGACACATGAATCTTTAAATTAAAATATAATGCCACTTATCATTGCTTAAAAAAAATGAAATAGGTAGGTGTACATCTACAAAACGTTGTAGGGCTTGCGTGCTGAAAACTACAAAATGTTGGTGAAAGGTATCAAAGATCTAATAAATAAATATACAGAATAACAGATTGTTAGACTCAACATTTAAAAATATTAATTCTCCCCAAATTAATAACAAAAGCTTAGCTTGTTACCAATCAAAATTACAGTGAGTATTTTTAGTATACATAGACAATATTATTCTACAACTTACATGGAAAGGCAAAGGAATTATAATAGCTAAAACAATTTTGAAAAAGAATTAAGTGTGAGGTATCAGTCTTCTCAATGTCAAGACATATACAGATATAATAATAAAGACTGTGTGGTATTAGCCAGAAAGATAAACATATAAATCAGTGAAACAGAATAGAGAAACCAGGAATAGACCCCACACAAATATGCCCAACCGATTTTACACATAAGTAAAAAAGCAACTCAACAAATGGTGCTGGAGCAAGTGCATATCCATAGGCAAAAACCTCGACCTATCTCATGCCTTACATAAAAAATAACTCAAAATGGACATTGTACTTAAATATGAAGTGTAAAACTATAAAAGTTTTAGGAAAAATAGGAGAAAATCTTCTGGAGTAGTGCTAGACAAGGAATTTTTATACTTGACACAAAAAGCACCATCCATAAAAGGAAGTATAGATAAACTGTACTTTATCAAAATTTAAAACTTTCACCGTGTGAAAAACCCTGGTAAGAAAGTGAAAGAAGAGGCTACGAAACAAGAACATTTTGCAAACAATGTATCCAAGAAAACACTGGCATGCAGACAATATAAAGAACCCTCGAACATGACAATAACAAAAAAAGCAGAAAATGAGCAAAAGGTATAAAGAGACATTTCATTCAAGAGGATTTGCAGATGGAAAATACATTCAACATCTTAGGCATTAGGAAAATGTAAATTAAAATCATAATAAGAACAGGCGTGGTGGCTCACACCTGTAATTCCAGCACTTTGGGAGGCTGAGGCAGGCGGATCACTTGAGGCCAGGGGTTCGAGACCATAGATGCTGAAACCTCACCTCTACTTAAAATATGAAAATTAGCTGGGCATGGTGGCGCACATCTGTAATCCCAGCTACTTGGGAGACTGAGTCACACGTGCCACTGCACTCCAGCCTGGGTGACAGAGCAAGACTGTCTCAAAAAAACAAAAACAAACAAAAAAATGTAATGAGATATCATCACACATCTATAACAATAGCTACATTTTTTAAAATAGTGACTAAAAAATGCTGGTGAAGATGGAAAGAATTGGATCATTCATAGTTCACTGGTTGGAATGCACAATTTTACAGTCATTCTGCATACATTTTAGCAGTTATTTTAAGAATTAAATAGGCAATTACCATGCCAACTCTGCTATTGCACCCCTGGACATTTATCCCAGAGAAAAGAAAACTGTGTTAATACCCAAAACCTGTATAGGGGGTTACAGTAGTTTTGTATTTACCCACAATTGAAAGCAACCTAGATTTCCCTTAATCAGTGAATGTTAGACTGTGGCACATCCATACCATGGAATACTTCTCTGTCATACAATGTGGCCAACGCCTGATATACAGTATGGATAAATATCTAGATAATTATGCTAATAGAAAGTACACAACCCCAAAAGATTACATGTGGTGTGATTCCACTTATATAAGTTTCTTGATTTAACAATATTATAGAAATGGAGAACAAATTAGTGTTTACAAGGAGTTCAGGTGGGAGATGGGGAAAGGGAAGTGGGTATTTTACAAATAGGCAAATTGAGGGATCCTTGTGTTGATGAAAATGTCCTTTATCTTCACTGGGTCAGTGTCAAACTCCTGATTGTGACACTGTACTGTTTTGCTAAATATTACCATTTGAGGAAACTGGATAGAGGGTACAGAGGATCTCTCTTTAGAAAATATTTTAACCACATGTAATTCTACAACTATCTAAAAAGTTTAATTAAAAAATCAATTATAATTTTATATACCAGGAACAACAATCAGAAAATAAAATTTAGAAAGATAATTCCAATGACTATGGAGCAGGATGGCTGACTAAATGCAGCCAGAAAGTGCCTCTCCCACTTCACTGAACCCAAAATATCCAGTAAACCATCACACTTTCTTTTTAAAGAAAACACTGAAAGTTGATAGAAAGGTACTACTGACACTGAGGTAGAAGAGGGAGGATGCTGGGAACACTGCAAAACATTGCCGAGTACCAGGACCAGCTCCCAGCCCTCAACAGTTCCTAAGAAAGGTGTAAGTGAAGGAACTGCAGAGAAACACACTGGCATCCTAGCTACCTCTGGGATCCCATGACCCCCAGACAGCTGAATTGACAGGGAGAACTGCCCAGAGAATAGGCAGAGGCAGAGGTCAAGCCTGCATGGAATGCAGGAGGTTGTGAATATAGGGCAGCTGCAGCAAAACATAACCATAGGCACCTATTCCCAAAGGCTCTTCATATAGCTCTGAGCGGCTCTACCTCCTGCTGACTGCTGGGATGGGAGAAAGGAGGGCTACCTTTCCTGCAGGATAGGAGTCTGTCTGATCTGTATGCTTCTCTCTCTGCCAACCGCTCACAAGGCCCCTGCATGACCACAATTGCCCCACCGAATTGCTTTGCTGGCAGCCTGGGAAATGCAGACTGTTAGGCCAAGAATGTTACACTATAAAGGATTCAATAGCTCTCAGCCAATATGTGGCAAATAATATTAATGTATAGCTTTAGAATATTAAAACAAAAGTAAATTCATAATTTGCAGGATAACCAAATCCCTAGTTTAAAAACAGAAAAAAAAACCCACAAAAAACAAAAGAAGCATAAGCATTTAATGTTTCTTTGTGTCACAGAAAAAATCTCTGCAGCAGATTCTGAACATGTGGTAGGTTACATAGAATGATATTATATATATATGGTATATTATATCAAATATATACAAAATATACACATTTGTATACACGCATTTGCTTAAATTGCATTAAGTTCTATAATATTACCGAATAATAATTTTCCTCCTTTTCTATATGACACAGGATGCATCAATGCTTATCAATAGGGGAATGAAGTGAATATTTTGCAAATGTCTATATTGTTTATCACTCTATCTCCCTGGTAACCACAATGTTTGGCATATGATAGGTGTTTAATAAATATTTGTTGCATGAGTTAATGAATATATCCCATTATAGGCCCCCCTCTATATTCTGAAAGACTCAATCTTTTGAAAGAATGCAAAGAAAGATGGATTTCATTTTTCAGCATTCCCCAACCTTTTTGGCGCCAGGGACTAGTTTCATGGAAGACAATGTTTCCGTGAACTGGGGGTGGGGAAGTGGTTTCAGGATGATTCAAGCACATTATATTTATTGTGTACTTTATTTCTATTATTACATTGTAATATATTATGAAATAATTATACAACTCACCATAATGTTGAATCAGTGAGAGCCCTGAGCTTGTTTTCCTGCAACTAGATGGTCCCATCTCGGGGTGATGGGAGATAGTGACGCCCAAAATGTGTTGCTTATATTCAGTCTGCTCCATAATCTCATTTTGGTTGCTGTCACTGCAGGAAACCCTGCTTCACAAAGACAGGATGTTGGCAATGGAAGCAGGCTTTTTAGTGCTTTTGTGGCAATCTCAGGATATTCCGCCTTGACTTTAGTCTAGAACATATGGAGATTTGAAGTTGTCTCAAACATACTTTTAAGGCCACCATAATTTGAAGTCAAGCAGTGGATCCTCTTCTAGCAAGGACAAAGGCAATTCACCTGACTTATTCAGGAATGGGTCACAAATCCATTCCTTCCAGTTCGGGGGTCTTTTGTGGTTGGGAGGTAATACTCAACTCTTTTGAAAGCCGAGATAGGTGATCATACACTAGCTGAGAGAAAGGCAGCCCTGGCTCAGTCTCTCAAAATCTCTGCTAATGCTTGAAACATGTCAGAAATCCCAATGTTCCTTCATCACCCCCATAATTCCAGTTTGGTTTTGAATGGAGCCATTTTATCTGCCGACTTGAACACACTTGTTGTTCTCCCCTGAAGCGACAGATCGAGTTCTCTGTGCAGGTTGAATAGGTCACACAAGTAAGCAAGTTTTGGGACCCTTTCTGTGTCACTGAAATGTGCTGCCAGTGGTGATTGTTTTTCTAAAAGAAAAGAACTATTCTCCTAAAAGAAATCTCTGAAGCGGCTCTTGTAACTCAAACTCTGGCCAGTGATCTACCTTTAGAAAACCATCTCACTCCTGTGTATTAGAGAAGATGTGTGTGCTCTGTGTCCATCTCCTCACAGAGCTGCGCAAACAGATGTGAGTTAAGGGCATGTATTTTAATGTGGTTGATAATTTTAATCACATCCTGTAAAATGCTGTTAAGTTCAGGTGACATTTTTTGGCTAGCCAGCATTTCTCTAAGGATAACAGGGTGTGTAGGCTCACATTCAGAAGCGACCTCTTTGACCCAAGTAGTGAAACCAAAAAGCTGTCAAGTAATGGTAGCTGCTCCATCTGTGCATATGCTGACAGAAAATGACCAGTTTCGTTTTCCTGATATGTAATCATTCAAAGACTTGAATAGTTCTGCAGCTGTGGTGCTGGTTGGCAACAAAAGCACACAAAACATTTCCTCATGTATATCCTCCTGAAAAATACATCATACAAAAACAAGCATTGTTCCCTTGTTGTCAACACTGGTAGACCCATCAACCTGGATTGCATACCACAGTGATTCATTAATCCTCTCTAACAGTTGTGCCTCCATGTACTCTGCTATTTCATTGATTCGTCTAGTTAGGGTGCTAGCTCAAAGGGGAAGATATGCCACCTTTTGAATTGCAGCCTCTCCTAAAAGTTCATGAAATATGTCCTTAGCAGCAGGCAGGATCAACTCTTCATGTAAAGGGCTCCTTAGCTTTAGCAATGTGGTTAGCCACTAAGAATGATGGTCTCAGTGGAGACACATTTGATGAAATAGTGGCCTTTAGTAATTGCTTCTGTTCTTTATGTTCATGTTCTTTTCTTTTGAAAAACTCCAAAGGCTTGTCTTCTAATGCAGGGCGTGTAGTCTCCATGTGGTGAAGCAGTTTTGAAGGTTTCATGGCTTTGGACAGCCAGTCACCACATATTACACAAAGCAGGCTCTGAGAATGTGAAATCACCTACTGCAATGAACCCATAACTTATGTAAGACTCTCGGTATTTTCTTTTAAATGCAGCTTTTTTTTTTTTTTGGTTGGCAGTCTTAGAGTCTTCTGCTATCTCATCATTGGGTCTGTCTCCCTTTTCAAAGAAGCTCTCCAGTGATGTTTGGCTTTTACTTATTTTGGGTAGGGTTAGCTGGTGGGTTTACCAAAACTCTGACTAAGAAAAGTGTGTAATGCAGGAAAGAGAAGCAGATGAAAGTGGTAAATAAAATAATAAGCAGGCCACTCATGAATTAAAAGAAGTGCTGGATTCTGACTTAAAGCGTTACCACCAGATGCAGCTGTACAATTGAAGTACATCACCTCACTTGCCACTATAAAGCTTGACGTCAGATGCAGCTTGCCACCTGCCACTCACTGATTGGGTTTTGAAATGAGTCTGCAAGTAATTGATTTACTATGGTCTCTGTGCAGTCAAACCTCTCTGCTAATGTTAATCTGTATTTGCAGCTGTTCCCCAGCGCTAGCATCATTGCCTCAGCTCCACTTCAGATCATCAGGCATTACATTCTCATAAGGAGTGCACAACCTAGATCTCTCACATGTGTAGTTCACAATAGGGTTCACACTCCAATAAGAATCTAATGCTGCCTCTGATCTAACAGAAGGCAGGGCTCAGGTGCTAATGTGAGCAGTGGGGAGTGGCTGTAAATACAGATGAAGCTTCACTTGCTCATCTGCTGCTCACCTCTTGCTGTGCAGCCCAGTTCTCAACAGGTCACGGACTGCTACTGGTCCATGGTCCGGGGGTCGGGGACCCCTGCTTGTTTTTGTTTTTTTTTTTAAGAGATGGAGTCTCACTCTGTTGCTCAGGTTGGAGTGCAGTGGCGTGATCTTGGCTCACTGCAACCTCCACCTCCCAGGTTCAAGCGATTCTCCTGCCTCATCCTCCCGAGTAGCTGGGACTACAGGCGCACGCCACCACGCCCTGCTAATTTCGATTGTATTTTAGTAGACACAGGGTTTCACCATGTTGCCTAGGCTGGTCTCGAACTCCTGAGCTCAGGCAATCCACCGGCCTCGGCCTCCCAAAGTGCTAGGATTACAGGCGTGAGCCACCACACCCAGCCAACCCTGATTTTTATATTAACTGTATTACCAAACATACTTTCATTGTAAAGTTTAGGGGTAAGATCAAACAAAACCCTCTGAATCAGAACAGTTATCCCTCAATCTCTGGGTTTGTCTCAGTATTGGGGATTTCTCCTGAGTCTCCTTAGGTGAACATTCACTTATCTGTTAGGGAACAGGCAACAACTAAAGCATTTTTATGTGATGAGTAACTAAAATTATGAGACTTTGTTTTTAAGCCCACTTTAATGGTTTTCATTTATTTTGGTATTTAATCACCTTCTACCATACATTATTTATTGAGTGTTTCTTATACAGTCATGCATTGCTTAACAACAGGGATATGTTCTCAGAAATATGACATTAGGTGATCTCATCATTGTGTGAACCTCACAGTCTATTCTTACACAAATCTAAATAGTATAGCCTACTACACAGCTAGGCTATATAGTATAGCCTATTGATCCTAGGCTACAAACCTATAGAAGATGTTACTGTAGGCAGCTGTAACACAGTGGTAAATACCTATCTAAACACAGAAAATACAGTAAATACACTGTATTATAATCTTCTACAACCACCTTTGCACATGTTGTCCACCACTGATTGAAATATGCAGTGCCTGACTGTAAATTACCATTGGTGGTATTTTCTTACAGCAGCACAAAGACCTTATATAAATAAAATGAATAATTATATTTTTACTAGTGCAAAGAAATCCATAAGGACTAATACATGTACAATGATTTACAGTAATATTCAGGGCTTCTTTGACTAACATTATTTCTTATTTTCAAGAGCAAATATTGTAATCTTTATAAATAAAATTTTTTCCTGAATACGTGTCTTTTTAAAAAAATATCTACCCCACTGGGCACAGTAGTAAACCAGAGTCAAAGCACTATAGAATATCTCCAAGTGAACACAGTTAAAAGCTTTGCTCCACAAAATTCAGTCATTTCCAATTCCAATCATAAAACTTATCTCCAAAACACACTTCAGTTATTTGAGTCAAAAATCAACTGATTTATATACATAATATCCAACTGTGACGCCTAGCTTTCTGATACATTATGAATAGCTCCACTGTGGTATAACTGAGAAAATACAGGTAATAGCAACTTCCTTTGAATTTGCAAGCTGATTGCCTTTGTGAGTGGATCTTTAAATCAGTTTGCAATGTTTTAACATTTGAATATTTTTAAAACATTTTCCATTTAATATGCACATACATATTTCATAAAATACAGTAGTCTCCCTTATGTGTGGTTTCTCTTTACAGAGTTTCAGTTACTTATGATCAACTGATGTCTAAAACCAGGTGAGTACTGTACAATATAATATTATGAGAGAGGGTGACAGAGAACACATTCACATAACTTATATTATTATAATTATTCTATTTTATTATTAGTTATTGTTAATCTCATACTGTGCCTAACTTATAAGTTAAACTTTATCATAGGTATGTATATAAATGAAAAAACAAGGTATATACAGGGCTCAGTAACATCTGTGATTTCAGGGATCAACTAGGGTTCTTGGAATGTATCCCTTGCAGAAAAGGAGGGACTACTGTATTTTGAATTGCTATATATTCAATAATAAATATCTCACGATATTTAGTCTTATAAAATTTATACATCCTTAATACAATGAAAGAAGCACACCTAACTGTGAGAATCATGTGGGCATTTACTATACATTTTTAAATCTTTTTTAAAAGGATTTTAAATTTTATCTTAAGCACACTAGATGACTTTAAAGGGTTGGCATGATCTGATTTATGTATTTTTAATTCTACCTATACAATTTATTTTATTTTTAAAATTAAAAAACATTTGGCTGGGTGTGGTGGCTTATGCCTGTAATCCCAGAACTTTGGGGGGCCAAGGCAGGAAGATGACCTGAGACCAGGAATTCAAGACCAGCCTGGGCAACATAGTGAGACCCTGACTTTAAAAAAAAATATTAAAAAAAAAAAAAAAGCCAGGTATGGTGGCATGTGCCTGTGGTCCCAGTTGCTTGGGAGGCTGTGGAAAGAGGATTGCTTCAGCCTGGGAGCTCAAGGCTACAGTGAGCCATGATAGAGCCATTGCACTCCAGCCTGGGTGACAGAGTGAGACCGTGTCACTGTAAAAATAAAATTTTAAAAATAATAATTGTGGTAAAAGACACACAAAATAAAATTCACCACCTTAATCCCTCTTAAGAATACAGTTTGGTACTGTTAAATATAATTACCCTGTTGTGTGACCAAACACCATCTTGTAAAACTGAAACTCTATACCCATTAAACAACAGCTCCCCATTTCCTACTCCACTGAACCCCTGGTAACCACCATTCTACATTCTGTTTTTATGAATTTGACAACAATAAATATCTCATGTAAGTGGAATTATACAATATTTGTCTTCTTCTTGCTGGCTTATTTCATTTAGAATAACGCCCTCAAGATATATATTGTTTTATCTATTTTATATATATATTGTTTTATCTATTCATTCCTTCCACCTTTTGGCTGTTCTGCATAATGCTGCTATGAACATGGGCATATCAGTATCTCTTTGAGACCCTACCTTCAATTCTTGGAATTGTACAATCATAATTCTATTTTTAACTTTTTGAGGAACCATTATACTGTTTTTCATAATGGATGTACCATTTTACATCCCCACCAACAATACACAAAGGTTCCAATTTCTATATATCCTCACCAACATTTGTTATTTCAGGATTCTTCTGGTTTTGTTTTCTTTTTTTACAGCAGCCATTCTTAGGTGTGTGAGGTAATATCTCACTGTGGTTTTGATTTGCATTTGCCTAATGATTAGAGATGTTGAGCATCTTTTCAAATACTTGTTGGCCATTGAGTATCTTCTTTGTATAATACAAATGTGTATTCAAGTCCTTGCCCAATTTTAATCTAGTTTTTTTTTGTTGCTGTTGAATTCTTTTTAATCTTTTGTAACTAAATTGTCACTCTTTAAATGATGGGATTCTAATCATAGGTAAAGTTGTTATTGGTTGGTTGGTTTTCAAATCATATGAGAAGTGACCTGGAGCAATGGGAAAAGCATTGTATCAGAGAACGGAAGATGTGGTTTCAAATGATAATTATATGGCATATTTGTAGAGTGACTCTGTACATACATTTTAACCTCTGGTCATCAGGCCCCTTGTAAAAACAATGGGACAATTATATCTCCCCTATGAGATCATAGGGTTAGTCTGAGTATCTAATGAGAGACACAAATGTAAAACATTATAAAATAAAATAAAATTGTTATAAATAAATGGTGCATATAAAATCAGTTTAAATAACTTTAAAAAAAATTTTCTTTTTTTTTTTTTTTGAAATGGAGTCTCACTCTGTCGCCCAAGCTGGAGTATAATGGCATGATCTTGGCTCACTGCAACCTCCGCCTCCCAGATTCAAGCAATTCTTGTGCCTCAGCCTCTCAAGTAGCTGGGATTGCAAGTGCCCACCACCACGGCTGGCTAACTTTTTGTATTTTTAGTATACTGAGGAGGGATTTCGCCTTGTTGGCCAGGCTGGTCTTGAACTCCTTACCTCAGGTAATACATCTGCCTCAGCCTCCCAAAGCGCTGGGATTACACACGTGAGCCACAGCACCTGGCCCAAATTTTTAAATAAAGATGTACCAACCTGGAGACAGGCTGAGATGTTGTTGTGATGTATTATAAGCAAATCAGAAAAACTCATCTGGATAAATGTAATTAGATAAATATCTGTTAGATTATTTCCATTCTTATAATTCATACCAACATTCTTTTCTATTTTTTATTTCCTTGATAATGAAAGGTTTTTAAGTACCATGTTATCCAGGTAATGCTTGCTTCCAGAATATTTTTATGAAGTTCCTAAATATTCAGGAATTTCTAAGAAGCAATTAAAAATTACAAGTGCAATTTAAAAATGCACTTCATTACATACAAATATACTACTACAAAAAGCTACAGAACAACCTAACACACTCCTTTAGGATGGCCCATGAATTACCTTTTCCTATATATTGGGAAAGAAAGGATAAACATAAACAGACTTCCAAACATGAAACAGTATGGCAAACAACATTTACATGCCTTACTACAAAATTTAAATTAGTATTTTAAATATGCAATTATAAAAAAATTTACCTAAAAATTATTACTATTTAAATATAATCATTAGCTTATTCAAAACTTTGAAAAACTTATAATCCCAGATTTGTTTAGTTAGTGACTGAATTTTAACTTTGAAAATCTCCTTATCTGTCTTTTACTGGCACAGTGGTTAAGGACAAAGACTAGGTAATCTGGATTTAATTCTGACACATACATTTAATAGATGTGTGACCTTCAGCAAGTTAGTTAACCTGTGGTCTGAGACTTTCTTTCTCATGTTTAAAATTAAGCTAACAATCACACCTCTCTCAGTTGTTTCATATGTTAAATAAGTCAATAAAGTGCTTTAAATACTGATTGACATGTTATAACCATTTGCTGTTATTATTTCTATAACTATGTTTATTACTATTTTTCCTGCTTTGACATTGTGATAAATACCCTTAAAAGGATAGAAGGAAAAGTGAAACATCTTTGGTAGTGGGTGGCATAGATAAAGGTTTATCTAATTTCATCAAGGCAATCAGAAAAGATACTGATGTGGGTAGAGAATAAAATTAGTCTCACAAAGCATCATCAGTATCTAAAAAAGCATACTAAACCACTGGTTTATGTTATAATTTAGACATACTTAAAGAGAAATTTGAGAAGAATGATGTCTGCAGTATACAGATCATTTACAATCTTAATATAACTTGTAATTACTTGTTCCCAAACTCAAGTGTAACCCAAGGCGTTCTGTGAATTTTACAGAACTAATCCCAAATCTAAATAATTAAACAGAGAAATCCAAATGTCAACAAAGGACAGGTAGCTTTAGAAGTAAACTCCAATGAATAGACAAGAAAGCAAAAAACTGATTAATTGAAAGAACTAATGTAAAGCCCCCAAATAATTAAGCTATCACTTGTAAATAAATCTCAGCTGGCTCAGTTGGCTGTCTTTGATTATGCATATACTTCTCCTATCTACCTGGTTGGTACAGGTACAAGACTCAAATAAACGTGAACATAATCAGTATTATTAAACTGATCGAAGTAAAACAGTGAATTAACTATAGTTATTATCTACATAAGAAAAAGAATAAAAAGAGTGAAAACACCAATTCCTCAAACACATATAGAGCTTGAAAGCAGTGTCTAAATCTTTGATTAAAAAAAAAAAAAACTCCCCTCATACTTTCTCCCAGTCATTGCTCTACCCACAACAGAAGGAAATACTGACTTCTAACACTATATATTAATTTTGTCTGTTTCTGAACTTTATAAAAATGAATCATACCATAGGCATTCCTTTTGTATCTGATGCCTCTGCAGAACATTAAGTTTATGAGATTCATCTATGTTTAAATTTAATTGTATGCTGTTCATTCTCATTGTACAGTATACCATGCTATGAATGTACCATGATTTAGTTATCCATTCTACTATAAGTAGACATTTGGATTGTTTCCAATTTAGGTCATTACAAATAGTATCAACATTCCTGCACATGTCCTTTGGTAAACTTAAGCAAACTTTCCTTTTAGATATATACCTACAACTAAAATTCCTGGGTAATAGATAACATATATGTTCAGGTTTAGTAAACACTCCCAGTTTCCCAAAGTGGTAGTACCAATTTGTGTATCAGATATCCAACTATACAACTTCCTTACAAACACTTGGAAAAGGCATCTTTTTTACTTAGCCACTCTGGTGGGTGTGTAGAAATATTTTGCTGTGGTTTTAGCTTGCATTTCCCTAATGATTTTTTATGTTGAGTATCTTTTCATGTTCATATTGAACATATACTATTTGTGAAGTGCCTTTTCAAGTCTTTTATTCATTTTTAAAATTGGGTTATGGAATATGAGTCCTTTGTTGGATATATGTATTACAAGTATCTTCTTTCATTCTATGATTTACCTTTCAGTTTTTAGATTTCTAAAGTTCTTATTTTTAATGTGATCCAATGTATCAATTTTTCCTATTATTAAGAAATCTTTCCCTAACCCAAGATCACGAAGATATTCTGCCATGTTTCCATCTAAAAGCTTTATTTTTTAAATCTTTCATAGTTGGATCTATGATGTACCTAAAATGGATTTTTATGTATGTCAATAAGCATATTTTCTATAAGGATATTGAATTGAAATAAAATTCTTTTCTCCATTATACTTAAAAAAATCAGTCATAAATCAGGTAGAAGCATATATGCAGACCTGTTCCTGGAAGTAATAGTTTTCTTTTACTTCTGTAACAAATTAGAACAAACTTTGCAGCTCAAAACAACACAATTTTACTATTCACAATTTACAAGTCAGAAATCCAGGTTAGCTCAGCTAATTTTTCTACTCCCAGTTTCAAAAAAAAAAAAAACAAAAATCAAAATGTCTGCCTGCTGAGCTCGTACTCTTAAGGCTCAGTAAAGATTCTACTTCACACAGTCCAGTTCCTTCAGTTCCTTTGGTTACAGGATTGATGTCCCTATTTCCTTGCTGACTTAAGCTAGAGGCTATGTTTAGCAACCAGAGGCCTCTCTCCAGTCTTTTACATAGGCCCTTAAATCTCATCAATAATAGTGCACAGAATCTTTCTCATGCTTGGAATCAATGACTCCCCCTTCTGCTGCATCTCTATTCTGCTTTCAGCTGGAAAAACTTCTCTGCTCTTAAGGGTTCATGTGATTAGACTGGGCCCACTCAGAAAACCCAGGATCATTTTACTATCTTAATTGTCTGTAACCTTAACTGTATTTGCAAAGTTCCTTTTGCCTTATAATGTGACATATTCACAGGTACCACGAATTAGGGCTGGATATCTTTGAAGGCCATTATTCTGCCTACCACACTGGATACTCTCTCCTGTTACACTAGCCTATTCTTGCACCAGCCTATTCTTGCATCAATACCACTGTTTTTAATAACTCTAGTATTGTGTTACAGAAAATGATGACAATTGGTACTCTCTCTTACACTTATTTTGTTACTCCTTAAGATTGCCTTGATTATCCTTGATCCTTTGAATTTCTAAACAAATTTCAGAAGAGATAGTCATTTTTTTACTTTAAAAAACCCAAAACCTATTTGACATTTTAATTGCACTAAATCTTTATACCTATTGATCTATATCCCCTATTTGGCCAATTTTGATTAATCTTCCATCTGAACTTCAAAAGAATGTGTACTCTCATATTTTCCAGTGAAATGTTATATAGTTGTAAATTAAGTCACTTATTACTCTTGCTGTAAAAATGTGCTCTACCTCTCTCTTTTTTTTTTTTTGTCATCTACTTGTTCTATCAGCTATTGATGGTTGGTACTACTGACAGCATCATAAATTCTCCCAGTATATTTGGGGATTTGTCCAGTTCTTTTGCTTCTATCAATTTTTGCTTTATATATACTATCTCACTATGTGCATGCAGATTTAGGATAGTGAAAACTTCCTGATACAATTACCCTTTTATTATTATAAAACATCCATCTTTTATACAAATTCTCCTAACTTTATAATGAGGCTATATCCTGAGAAACCCACTGTAAGTGAAAAATATTGTTAAGTCAAAAATACATTTCATATACTATAGAGTGTTGGTTATTTACCCTCATGACTGCTTGGCTGAGTGGAAACTGCAGCTTGCTGCTACTGCCCAACACTGCAATAGAGTATTCTATTACATATCACTAGCCTAGAGAAAGATCAAAATTCAAAGCATAGCTTCTACTGAATGTGTATCATTTTTGCACCACCGTTACGTCAAACAATTGTAAGTTGAACCATCATACGTTATGGACCACCTATATTTAGTCTTTATCTTATAGTCTACCTTATTGGATATAGTAGCTACACCAGTTTGCCTTTCAGTGTTAGGACAGTGTATCTATTCATCCTTTTAGCTTCATCCTCCCATTTAATTTAAGATGTGGCTCTTGAATGCAGCATATAATTGGGGTTTACTTGTTTTATACAGCCTGACAAGCTTAGTGATTCAATTTTAATAATTAGTCAATTTATATTGAATGTGATTACCAATATAATTAGGACAAAACAGAGGAAGAATAAGCTTTACTACAGATACAACTGAGACTTGAAATACATCCCCAAGGTCAACTCTGATACAGAATGGTTACATGTATATTTTATCTTGATTTTCTCATTGCTCTAAGCAGAAGTACTAATTTGCTACCAGCTACTCCATTCTACTTGGAAGGAAAGCCTCAACACATAGGTTTTCCTAAAATCAAATATTTACTTGAAAGCCTGTATTAAATCCAAGGTGATGTTCAAGGTCAAACTTAGTCTCTGAATAATATTTGCCTCAAACAAAAGTACTAGTAGCACTTTGGACATTTCATAGTATAACAATAAGAGAGTGGTATAGTTAAAAAACCCCAAAGGATAAAAAAACTGTTAAGTAATTAATATCATTTCATGTTCATTTTTAATGTGACCTAGGAAATAAACTATTGTAAATGTCTTCCAAAACCATTTCATTTTTTTGTTGTTGTTTTGTTGAGGCAGAGTCTCATTCTGCTGCCTGGGCTGGAGTGCAATGGTGCAGTCTTGGCTCACTGCAACCTTTGCCTCCAAGGTTCAAGTGATGCTCCTGCCTCAGCCTCCTGAACAGCTGGGATTACAGGCACGTGCCACCACGCCCAGCCAATTTTTTGTATTTTTAGTAGGAATGGAGTTTCACCATGTTGGCCAGGCTGGTCTTGAACTCACGACCTCAAGTGATCCGCGTGTCTCAGCCTCCCAAAGTGCTGGGATTACAGGCATGAGCCACCATGCTCAGCCCAAAACCATTTCTTAGGCCACAAAAAATTATCTCACACACAAATCAATTCAGGAATGAACAAAAGAATATGATCCATTGCACCTAGGTGTTTCAGCTTCTTTATTATAAATGCCTTTACTCCAGTCTATGTCATCTGTGATCCTTCATTAAATCCCTACATTTAATATCTTCTCTAACCTAATCTCCAATGAATACCCAGTTACTTTCTAAACAGAAATACGATAAGCACTACTTACATTTACATATAAAATCTCCCAATGGCAAGCTTTAATTTCAGACAAAATTTCATATGTATATATCTGTTAAAATTTGTAGATGTATAAACTTATAAATCAATTTAGATATATAAATTTTATAAAATATCATCTATAGTTTATATGTTACATATATACACATATATATGTGTATGTGGGGGTACACACATACATATTTCTAGCTATTCTCTTGCCTCTGCCTTTTATTTGCCAAACTTTAAAATAAGCTTCAAGGTCTAGCTTAACTTTTCAAATGCCAAAAAAAAAAATAATCATCACCATTCACCAGCTGGGTCAGATGGACTATGTAATTTTATTTTTATGTTCAAGTCATTTTATATTGCAGAAGTAAAAATAAAGGAGCAGTGAAATTTCATCAGAAAGTTTTGGTTTTGAATGTATATGTATTCAATGTCTTCTAAATGCAACTAACGCTTCATCAATTGTCATGTATGAACCAGAGACACATCCATCTTGTACATATTGATTCCAGATGTCAAATACATCTCTAATTGGATCTAACTTATCATTATTCTTGTTCTTCTTGAACTGACATCATCAAAATACAGCACACCTGATGAATTTTTTTTAAACCTTTAGCTTATAGTTTTGATGAAGAGAAAATGGCCATCTTCTTTGTTCGATAATTGCAAAAGTTTCATTTTTACACTTATAACACCACTTATAATTACCAATTAATAATTTTTTCATTTCTACATTATCTGTTTCCTTCTAGTCACCTATGCATATATATATATATATTTACCTTCAGTATTTGTCCACTTAGGAACCATATATAATGAATCTGAGCACGAAATCATAAAAGATTAAAGAATATGTTACCTATCCTTTTAGCAAAATGAGATGGTCCAGGTTCTTGCTGCAAAATACTGTGTGATAAGGTCCTTCCTGTTCTTCACTAACTGAATGTGAATACGTTATCTGCTTTTTGTTTTGAGAAATGCATTATTCACACATTGATAGTTGTCTGAAGAAATGCATCTTGGAATGTGTCATCTGATGACTCAGTATGAGGATCTGCTTCTAAGACCAATTTTGCCATTAACATTAGAGCCCTGATATCTGATTTGACTAGTAAATATTAAAGTCTCTTCTCAATTTTCATAACTTTTTCATTATGGAAAAGAAGAATTAAAGGGAAAATTTACCCCCAAGCAAAAAAAAAGTTTGAAAAAAAAATTAAAAATTCTGAATTCTCAACTGGAAAAGGAGACTACAAAGATGGGGTCTCTGATCTTCTTTTATTTATATATTCATGAAAGATCATGCAATATTTTGGACAACTTGATAAAACTAAAGGATAAAGCAATAGTGACCATTTATTCAACTACTGCACTACTCTTCTAGATGACTTCATCATTCTCCCATTTTCCTTTTATTTCATTGTTTGTTTGTTGTTGTTGTTGTCGTTGTTGTTCTTGTTGTTTTGAGATAGTGTTTCCCTCTTATCCCCCAGGCTGGATTGCAATGGTGCCATCTCAGCTCACTGCAACATCTGCCTCCCTGGTTCAAGCAATTCTTCTGCCTCAGCCTCCTGAGTAGCTAAGATTACAGGCATGTGCCACCATGCCCAGCTAATTTTTGTATTTTTAGTAGAGATAGGGTTCCACTATGTTGGCCAGGCTGGTCTCGAACTCCCGATCTCAAGTGATTCACCCACCTCAGCCCCCTATTTAAGGGCAGTTGAAGAAAGCTAGCTGATAAGTAATGATGAAATAATTCTAATAATAATAGAACAGCAAAATGTTTCAAGATGGAGGAAATACAAGAACACTATGATACAAAAATATATCACAGATTTATAAAAAGGCCCAATAGATCCAGGTGGTAAATATAAAATTTAAATATATATATATGTACAGAAATAAACACTTTTTCTCTTTGCTCTTTGGAAGAGCCCTAGAAAATAATAAAAGTCATAAAATATCAATCCTTATAAATTCTCAGAATTGCTCAAAAACAGAAACTCAAAAGTAAAACAGAATCCAATGGACCTTGGTGTTGTACTGAGGGTTAAAGGCCACTGACTTTCTAAGATTTTTGTCAGAGAGCAACAAACAAAATTAACCTCATACTTACCAGTTTCCCCACTGTATTTAAACATGCTCCCATTATTCTACCCATTACACTGTATTATACATATTCATAATATATAATACACATGATTTTGATTTTTCAGCTAGACTATATTTCTGGAACTTAAGAAAATGCCTTAAACATGGTAGTCCTTTTAAGTGTTTGTTAAATTAGAACTTTCTCACAAACTATAATACTATCTTATGAGACAGAGGAACAAATTTAACTTCCTGAAACTCAAAGAATAAAAAAGTCTCTAGTATGCATTAGACTTAATAAAGCAGGTAAAGCTTATCTATAGGTTGTCTCATTCCTTATCTATATCTTACTGGTTAGTACCCTAAAATTATATTTTCTGATGACATAAAATTTTAATCTTATCTTCTTAAGAAAAGGATTTCATTCCCTGAATCTATTAATGTTTCATGTTTATTATAAGGTGGAAAGATATAAAAATTTGTAAAGATAACTAACTTGAAATTTAAAAATCCGGGTTACATAACTGCAAAGATTTTGTATTTTATCCTAAGTGCAAAGGCATATCATTAGAGATTTAAGTATGGCCATGTATAACCTATTAACTATAAGTCAAATCACACCCTATATTCTAAAGACCAAAATCTTAATATCAATAACCAATGAATTGAAGAGCCAAGCTAAATAAAGTGACAAGATTATTAAACTTACTCTTCAATTCTTTGGAAATCATACATACCAAGGACTGCAGCATCAAAGTAAGCAAGGCAAATACTTACAACTACAGTTAGATCTGACAAAGGAGTCCGGGTGTTAACTGAGGAGATTCCTATATCCTGTTCTAAGAGTAGCGTTGTGAAATTTTAATTTGCCAAAAATTTCATTACAAAGAAATATCTGAATCAAAACAGTTAAAAATCAAGATAATAGATTATCCAGATTATTTACTGTTTGGGCTACATCAACTTGCCATGTTAAAACCCAATTGTGTTTTTAGAGCCTTATTATATATTCTATAAACCAGCCTGCTTGTTAATTATCTTTTCAGAAACTTTGCTGAAATCCATGTTGCAAGCATCCTGATTTCTACAGGGTCCTTACCAATCTGACTTTTTAATACAATATTGTGTATGTGTGTGTGTCATTTGGGATCCTCTGAAATCCACATTGAACACTTATCATGGAGTCATGTATAGAACATAAAATAAAGATGTACTGATATAAACTGTGTAATTTTTTTAAAGCTTGGCTGAAGTTAAATTTCAGTCAGTAAAATATTATAACTCAACTATAGTTTTTTATTTTTATTATTTTATTTTTAATTTATCTTGGAGACACAGCCAAATAAAGGAATCTGCTGACTGAGTATAAATTAGCTATCTTTGTAATCACATTAACTTTTTTAGGTGATATGGTATACCTATGTGATAAATTTAAGAAAATTCAAACTGGTCTATATTGTCAGTATTTTTTATGGCTACCAATAATAGATACTAGAGCTGGCAGGTAAGATGGGGAATCCAAAGACATAAAAAAATCATGGCAGGCTTCTTACTGGCAGCTAAAATAAAGGAATCCTATAAACAGTCACCTGTTTATATGATTTATATAAGCCAATAAGGGGTCCCAATATTGTACTTAATATTTATTAAATGAAACTCTAATGGAGTTTTGTACTTTGCAAAATAATGAACAAATATCCAGGGAGCAATTTATATTTTAAGGAAAATTTACCAGTGAGAAATTACATTTAAAAATTAAAATATGAACAAATACACATTAAACAAATCTTTGAAAAGATCTAAAATCACTTTTTCTTTTTCTTTTTTTTTCTTTAGTAGAGACGGAGTTTCACCGTGTTAGCCAGGATGGTCTCGATCTCCTGACCTTATGATCTGCCTGCCTCAGCCTCCCAAAGTGCTGGGATTACAGGTGTGAGCCACCGTGCCCGGCCTAAAATCACTTTTTCTTAAGAATGTAAGTAAACAGCCTGAAAACTCACATAAATTTTTTCTTTGAGTGTTTCCCTAAAACACAAAAGCCTTAAAAACTGACATTTTGAGTATCACAGTGCTAGGAATTCCAGTACACCTCATTCCTTTCTTTTGCTGATAAGAAATAAGAAGAAATATTTGCTTTTTCGTCGTTGTTTTTGTAATGGCAGATATCAGAATTACACCCACTTAAAAC
Source organism: Homo sapiens (assembly GCF_000001405.40). Classification (NCBI taxonomy): domain Eukaryota; kingdom Metazoa; phylum Chordata; class Mammalia; order Primates; family Hominidae; genus Homo; species Homo sapiens. The sequence continues at coordinate 66,635,620 of NC_000014.9, read as the reverse complement.
ATTTCCTTACTGAGTCTGTCTTCTGTCTAGAGAGACAGTAGTGTGGATTATCAATCATGCAGGATCACTCAGAGGACCAGTTAAACAATGGTATATAAACTCATCACTTAAATCTGGGATTTCCCTTTGTATACTGGCTTCTGTGAAGTTTGAATACACTTAATAATGAAGTTAAACTATTTGGAAAATTGCTAATAATCTTTCAAAGTTTCAAAGTAAGTTTCAAAATTTCACAGGAAATTTCAAATTAAGTAAATTATATTTCTTAAAAGGGCCACAACATTATCTCATCCCACGTGTTCTTTTTCAGCATGACTTTCCCCTATCTGTTAAATCTGAATTGGCTCTATGACCTCTTTTGACCAATGGAATGTGGCAGTGTAACATCTAAGGATTTGTCTTAAGAAAACTGCAGCTACCAATTGGTCACCTATAACACTTCTGTTTAGAATCTAGGTCCCATGCAGTGAGACAGCCCAAACAATCATACAAAGTCCATGTTCAAGAGAACATGTGAACATTGTCAACAGCTCCAGCTGAGTTCTAGCTGGCAACAAGCACCAACTGCTAACCATGTGAGTAAGGCTATTTTAGATGCCCCAGCTATCCAGCAGACACCACATCAGAGATGGAAACAAATCTATCAACCTACATCCAGTCCACCTACATAACTGAAAGAGATAATAAACTTTTGCTATTTTAAGCCACCATTGTTATACAGCAATATACAGTAAAAATGGGGTACATGTCTAATAGTAGTTAGTGATCTTGTCCCAATCTAATAAACAATGGTGGTAAATCAGCAGCAGGAGTGAAGAAAGCCACACCACACAGCTTAAGAAAGGCTCTTAATATTTAATTTTAAAAAAAGCAATCTTATAGCTGGTTCCTGTGCGCCTCACCCAGGAGCCTGGGGACCAGCCAGACTGGCCAGTCACCAACACACACTGATGCCTGGGCACCTGAAGACCAACCCACCAGTGCCACTACCAGAATCTGTGTAGCCCGGCCCAGGGATGCGAGGGCCAATCAGGAAGGGCCTGACACTGCTACCACTGGCTCCCCACCTAGGACCTTAAGATTGGCTCACCCAGGACACACAACCACCACTGTTGGTGCCCCCACGTGACACCTAGAGGCCTGAGGATCAGTCTGGCTGATGACCCCTTCCCCACCAAAGTCTCACCACAATCTCCACAAACAACTGCAGGCTAAGCCATTAAGGGAATCACAGACACTGCAGTTGTTGATTACAGGTGAAGTATCATACAAAAACTACACCATTGCAATCACCGAGAACCAATGCGAAAACATTCTACCCAACAAACATTACAGCTACATCTACAGGAAAAAGTCTTTCCTTACAGAAGCTACTCCATAAAATTAGAAGTGACAGTTACACCAGATGTGCAAATATCAATGTAAGGGAACAAGAAATATGAAAAGGCAGGGAAACATGACACCTCCAAAACAACACAATAATTCTCCAGTAACAGACCCCAAAGAAAAGAAAATATGTCAAATGCCTGAAAATGAGTTTATAATAATGATCCTAAGGAAACTCTACAAGATACAAAAGAACACATATAAATAATTTTAAAACCAGGAAAACAATTCATGACCTGAATGAGAAATTAAACAGAGATAGATATTATTAAAAAAAAAAAAAACAGAAAGAAAACCCAGAAACTAAATCTTTTCCCAAACCAATGTCTTAAAGCATCCTGCAATGTTTTCTTTTAGTAGTTTGACAGTCTCAAGTCATACATTTAAATCTTTAAACATCATTAGTAATGAGAGAAACCCAAAATAATAAGCAATCTGATGGGATACAATGGGAAGAGTACAGCACCACCTTTGTGACAGTCTGGACAAAGACGTTTAACTTACCATACAATCCAGCAAGTCACACTTAAGTATTTATTCAAAAGAAATGAAAACATACGTACCCAAAAATATATGTACAGGCATATTCACTGCAACCCTATTAATAACAGCAAAAAATCATTAAAAATCTAGCTGTCCCTTAAACTGAGAATGTATAAAATTGTAAAATCCTCATACACTGGAATACTATTCAGCAATAAAAAAGAATGCAGTACTTATTTTATACAGCACAATATAGATAAATCTCAAAAAACTAAAATGAAGCCAAACAGAAAGAGTATACAGTAAAATGCAAAATTCCATTTATATAAGGTTGAAGTTTGGTAAAACTAATTTATGGAAATAGAAAAGTTTGCCTGCCAGTTGAATAAAACACTTTTTGTTGATTCCTTAATAAAGTACTATGTTCATTAATTATAATTTTAAAAGTAAATTTCAAACTCAAATTGTGCTGTTTTTCTTATAAGAAATTGAAGTACATACATAGAATAACAGAATGAATTCAAAGAAGATAAGAAGTATAGGAGAATTTATACCTTAGAAAAGAAAATGGCCTAATCAGAAAGTTAAATTACAGTAGAAAATAAAACAAAACTATGATGTGACAGTATATGATTAAATTTAATATTGACAGAAGACAGTAATATAAGAACTACACAAGGCAGTACACAATTAAATTGGAAATAAGTGCAAGAAACATTGTACACTTCGAATGACGTTGTGAAGAAGGCCTGGCCTGAGCAAGGGCACAGAAAGAAGAATGGTAATAGTCTTTGAGTAAGCAGACCAAACTGGATGGAATGGATGGTTCCACTAAGTGAAGTAAGACAATAAGGAACAATTCCTTTTTTGTTGTTGTTCTTTCTTAGCAGATACATGGCATAACAAACGTGGAATGTTAGAAAAAGTCATCTGACTGGAATACGCAGAATGTATTATAAGGGGCCGGGTGCGGTGGCTCACACCTGTAATTCCAGCACTTTGGTAGGCCCAGGCAGGCGGATCACGAGGTCAGAAGTTGGAGACCAGCCTGGCCAACAAGGTGAAACCCCGTCTCTACTAAAAATACAAAAATTAGCAGGGTGTGGTGGCGCAGACCTGCAGTCCCAGCTACTCAGGAGGCTGAGGCAGAAGAATCACTTGAACCTGGGAGGAGGAGGTTGCAGTGAGCCGAGAGCACACCACTGCACTCTGCCTGGGTGACAGGGCAAAACTCCATCCCAAAAAAAAAAAAAAAAAAAAAAGAATGTATTGTAAGAAAGGAAAGTATGGAGACAAATCTGTAAGGAAGTCAACCTTTACATTAATGTACAGCAAATCTGCGCCTGGATCAATATTTCAGCTAAGAGAATACAATAAAATCAAATATATGTGAACATTATAAAGCTGGGATTATCAAAATTTGATGGAAAATGCAATACAGAGGGTTTAGAGAAGAAAGGTGTCAAAAACAACTATGAGCTTTTGATCCCATATACCTACAGGGGAACTATCATTTGCTAAGAGACAGGCACTGTACCAAGTGCATCACTTACACTATCTCATTTAATCTAATCATTTTGCCAATCTCATGTCATGAAACATTGCTCTCCCCTCTTTATAGACAAGATAATGAAACTTGAAGACATTATTTCCCAAAGATCTCAGAGCTAGCAGGATTAAAATGTAAATTTCAACAAACATTTATTTTATTGACCAGAAAAATAATAATACCAATGATACGAATAGGAAATTAGGTAGGGTAGTTGGATTGGGAACAAGGTAGCAGAAGAGAAGGATAATAAAGAGTTCAAACAACCTGAATTCGAAGCAATAGCAAGATTTAAAAAGAAAAAAATGTTTAGAAGCAATGATAGGAAACTGTTTAGGGTTAGAAACATTCGGAAATCACTTGCAGAAAAATGTTAATGAAGATTCTTTAGTGGGAAATTTCTCTAATATAGAAAATATATAAAGTAGAACTACAAATAAAAATTAGTTTCTAATATAATTCATCAAAAAATAAAAAATATTATACTTAGCACAGTATGAGCCTTAATACAATAAAAAATCCTCCTACAGACCTAGTCTAGTTGTTGTCAAATTTTACTTTAAAATTACTTCACTATGGCAATACTGTCTTCTGCAAACACAAGCTAGCTTTGAATCTATGAGATACAATTATTTACATAGTCAAAATAAAGGTGCTATCTTGTTTTAATTATACATAGAAAGAGCTTTTTAAGACTCATACAAACTTATCTAAAAGTAATATTTGCAAAGAAAGACCTAGTGAGGAAAAAACAAAAATTACTTGAAGTTATTCAGCAATAATAAAGGAAACTCAAGAATAATAAATACATTTGTTTTGAGCTAAAATAAACACTGTTAAAAAGGACGACTGTGCCGGCCGGGCGCAGTGGCTCATGCCTGTAATCCCAGCACTTTGGGAGGCCGAGGTGGGTGGATCATGAGGTCAGGAGTTCAAGACCAGCCCGACCAACATGGTGAAACCTCGTCTCTATTGAAAATACAAAAATTAGCCAGGCATGGTGGTGAGTGCCTGTTATCCCAGCTACTCAGGAGGCTGAGGACGAAGACTCGCTTGAACCCAAGAGGTGGAGGTTACAGTGAGCCGACAGCACCACTGCACTCCAGCCTGGGCGACAGAGCAAGACTCCGTCTCAAAAAAAACAAACAAAAACAAAAACAAAAAAAAAGAACGACTGCAATTAAAGAAAAACTACAGGCAAAATGGGCATGGGACAATAATCCTGACAGTCCACTAAAGTTAAGTAAGAGGGGATCATGTAAACACTCCATAAAATGTAAGAAAAAAAAAACACATTAAATAGGTCGAAGATAAAAGTATTTGTTAGTGACAGCTATGATCAAGTCAACATAGGAAATACCAGAAACAGACTATGTAATTAACTGGCATGACAAGAAAATCTACAAATATAAGTTAAAATAGGATTCTGATGGCTGGGCGCAGTGGCTCACGCCTGTAATCTCAGCACTTTGGGAGGCCGAGGCAGGCGGATCACGAGGTCAGGAGATCGAGACCATCCTGGCTAACACAGTGAAACTCCGTTTCCACTAAAAAATACAAAAAATTAGCCAGGTGTGGTGATGGGCACCTGTAGTCCCAGCTACTCAGGAGACTGATGCAGGAGAATGGCATGAACCAGGGAGGTGGAGCTTCCAGTGAGCTGAGATCGCGCCACTGCACCACAGCCTGGGCGACTCCATCTTAAAAAAAAAATAACAACAACAACAATAGGATTCTGATGACCAATTGCCAACATTAAACTTGCCATTCTTTATTTCTTCCAATTTCTGCTTCTGACATTTATTTCTATCACCCTGTTTTTCTATTTTAAATCACTAAGGAAATGTGATCAGATTCTTTTTATTTCAGGATAGATCTGACCCCACACATCTCAACAACATTACCTGCCTTTCTTCTATTAAATTCTCTACTTATAAACTTTTCTACTTCTAATGAGCCAGTGAAAATTATAGAAAAGAGCATAACCCAAGTAAAATACTTAAGTCTATTAAGAATACCTTTCAGCATCTCTTATCTTATCCCTTTCTTCTCTTCCCCATTCCTTAGATCTTCATATTGTCATCTAGCTGTCCAGTAAGTTCCAGTAGAACCATCCCTCCTCTGGATGTAATACAGACTACTCCCTTCCCCCATCAATATTTAACTATGTCATTATATTTAATAAACCAATTTAATTAAAATAACATGCTAATGTTACGGTTAACATCCAGGAAAAAGTCCTTACTCTTATTTAATCTTCTTAGGAAGCAATTCAGATAGTAACAGAGAAAGGCAGAAAAAATGATTTCAAATTACCTTAAAAATCAGGACCTAGAAGGGAGATTAAATAGAGTATAATTGAAGTCATGCACTGCATAATGATATTTCAGTCAATAATAAACTGCATATATGATGGTGAGTCCATAACATTATAATGGAGCTGAAAAATTCCTATCAAATAGTGATGTCATAGCCATCATAAAGTAGCAGTAAAAGGCATTCCTACATGACTGTGGTGATGCTGGGATAAACAAACCTACTGCAGTGGCAATCATATAAAAAAACTATAGCACAATTATGTACACTACATAACACTTGATAATGATAATAAATGATTATGTTACTGGTTTTTGCATTTACTATACTATGCTTTACATCATTATTTTAGGGTGTACCCCTACTTATTAAAAAAAAGTTGACACTAAAACAGCCTCAGGCAGTTCCTTCAGGCAGTATTTCAGAAAAAGGTGTTGTTAACATAGAAGATGACAGCTCCACAGGTGTTATTTAGTGAGACAAGATAAGGAGGTGGAAGACAGTGATACTGATGATCCTGACCCTGTGTAGGCCTAGACTAATGAATGTTTGTGTCTTAATTTTTAACAAAGAAGTTTACAAAGTAAAAGGATAAAATAGAAAAGAAACTTACAGACTGAAGATAAGAAACACACACGTGTGTTTTATATTTATATACATATTTATATATGTATATAAATATATATTTATATACATATTTATATATGTATATATATATTTATATACATATTTATATATGTATATAAATATATATTTATATACATATTTATATATGTATATAAATATATATTTATATATATATATATGTATTTTTTTTTGAGATGGGGTCTTACTCTGTCTCCCAGGCTGGATGGAGTGCAGTGGTGAGATCAGAGTTCACTGCAACCTGAAACTCCTGTGCTCAAGCAATCTTTCCTCCTTAGCCTCCAGAGTGGCTGGGACTATAGGGGTACACCAACACACCTGGCTCATTTTTTAAATTATTTTTTTGTATAGATAAGGTGTAATTATCTTCCCCATGCTGGTTTTAAACTCCTGGGATTAAGCAATCTTCCTGCTTCACCCTCCCAAAGCACTGGGATTGCAGCTGTGAGCCACATGCCTGCCAGAAATAAAACATTTTTGTACAATATGTTTATGTTTTAAGCTAAGCATTATTACAAAAGAGTCAAGAAGTTTATAAACTAAAAAAATTAAAGTAAGCTAAAGTAAATTTATTATTGAAGAAAGAAAAATATCTTTTAATATAATTAGTGTAGTTAAGTATACATTGTTTAAAAACTCTACAGTGGTGTATGGTAAAGTCCTAGGCCTTCACCATTCACTCACTCACCTACCCGAAGCAACCTCCAGTCCTGCAAGCTCCATTCATGGTAAGTGCCTTATATCACTTTTTATCTTTTATACCACATATTTACAGCATTTTTCTATGTTTAGATATATAAATATTTGCCATTGTGTTATAACTGCCTACAATATTCATTCAGTACAGTAACATCCTGTATAGTTTGTAGCCTGACAGCAATAGCCTATGCCATACAGCCTAGGTGGGTAGTAGGCTATACCACCTAGGTTTGTGTAAGCATATTTCATGATGTTTGTAAATGACAAAATTGCCTAACAATGCATTTCTCAGAACACATCCCCATCATTAAGCAATGAATGACTGTATTCTACAAGGATAATATAATCAAAGTACTGGTGTTTTTCATAACTTTGCATTTTCTTTATTCAATTAATTGCTGTTAGTAACTGAATTTTCTGCAACTTAGATCCCTGATTTTTCACTCCCTCACTGCATTATTCTACTGTTATCACCTAGACAACAGGCTTAATTCTTTCCCCTACCAAGAGCTGACTGACTCTTTTTAGGGCACAAAAAGACAATAAAAACATTCCATTTTCTATTTAGTTGCTTAGCACAAAATAAACCTAACCAAATGAACTTTATATAATGGGGTGGTGTATCTAACAGTAGGTAGAAGAGAGATTTCTTTAATAAAACTATGAACTAATGGGAAAACAGACTAGGTAATTAGAAGCACACCATTATTAGTGAAAGCAGACAAAGAGAGAACAAATAATTTGCTCTTCATTTTAAAAATATCCTAATACCAAAAAACGCAAAATAATTCACTGTAATATAATCTACGTACATCAGATTATCAGTACTTTAAGTCTAACAATATCAAGTCTTTGTGAAACCTCATACATTTCTCATGAAACAGTAAACTGATGGGACTACTTTAAAGAACGATTCAAAAAAATTAGTAAAATGTTTAAAAGTTTATATACTATATGCTGGCCATTCTATACCTAGATACATACCTCAAGGAAATTTTCACCTATTCATGATTCTTTGAAGCACTGTTCACAAGAGTAAAAATTATGAAACAAGCAATAGAGGAATTAATAATAAATTATGATACATTCATGCAATGAAATACTCTTCAACAGTTGAAATAAAGAACTAGATCCATCAACGAATGTATCTGAGAAACAATGTTGGGGGCGGGGGGAAGCATGTTCCAGTTTGATACTATTCAAATATAGTTTAAGATACGTAAAACAAGACTACATTTATTCTGGATGTGAGAAAAAGAGTAAAATTGTGAAACAAGCAGGGAATATAAAACAACAAATTCAGAATAAGGGTTACTACTGGGAAGAGAATGATAAAGGTGAATGGTATAGGTAAGAGATTCACAGATGACTTCCATTTTATCTGTAATGTTTTATTTCTTAAGTTCAATAGTAATTATATGGGTATTCATTAGATTTATACCAATTTTAAGGTAAGAGTCATATATTGCTATCTATCCTCTATTCCCCCAAATGAGAATATTTTATATAAAAGATCTATAGTCAATTATAATAATTCTAACACTGAAATATAGGCATTCCCAATAAAGCAAATCTCAATAAAGCAAATCTCTATAAAGCAAATCTCTGGCAGTCAAAACCTAAAACCTAAATGATAACTGCACTGTTTTATAATTTGTAGGATCACAAAGTTCTTCATTTACATTATCAGCTGTTGATTTTCCATGAGAATCTCATCTCCAGTAGACATGAATCCAATTCAGTTACAAGTACCTCAAATTGAATTATCTATCATTCTACTCATATGCTATCTTCTTAACTACAAAAATATCCTGAAAAATCTTATGGTATGGCATTCATAGAAAGGCAAATATACTACTTCCATCCTCATTACCTAACTGTGAGGTCCAGTGTTAAGCCAAAAAGACATTAGAAATTATTAAATACATCCAAAAAACAATAACTAGAACCACAGCATTCAATTTAATACATTGGTTCTTGCTGTTTTTATTTAAATGGAAAATATCCTCAAAATATTAAGTTATCTTCTTTCTAACATGTTACCTAAAGTTCAACTCAAATATATTACTATTAGCACTTCTGTTAAATCTTCATCCTTCGGTGAAAATTTTGATCAGAATGAGAATGTTTCATAAAATAAATCCAATTACTTAAATGAATGTGAATGCCTTAGAACAAAGTTTATTATGGCTTCAAATAAAACATCAAAATTTGGAGAAACATCATATTTAATATAGAGAAAAGAATTAACAGAATAACTTTTATGCACTTATATCTGCATTTTAGGCTCCATTTACTTTTCCTATCTATAAGATAGAACATAAATTTCAGCCCTTGCTAAACAGATTCTGGTTCTCTATAATTATCTAAGCATAATAGATGGTAGAGGAGAAGCACCTTATGAAAAACAGGGGTATTAATTGAAAGTTAACATACTAAATGGTGAGAATCCCAGACTTCTCCATCACATGGCTAAAATAACACTGCCAGACAAGTTTACACCATTCAGGTAGGAAGTTAAAAGTTTTTCTCAGAAGGAACTAAACAGCCCAAGAGAAAATGCCCTATGATAGTGACATTTATGAGTACCTCTGGATACCTACCTAATAACCCTACAATGAAGTCCACTGGGTTATAAGGCCTGTCCTATTACATAGAAAAGCCAACTCATATTTATTGCCTCCCTATTAAATATAAATCTGCATATAAGAATCACAAGATATGTGAAGAAAGCTTGCATCATAAATAGCACAGATTAAACTAAACGCAGTAACAAACAAAAAGGATTTGGGAATAAACAATGCAAGAAACAGAATAGTCTTTAAAAAACCACACTGTGATTTTATTAGATGGAGACTGACAAATTGTGTACTTGACATAAGAACAGGGTATTATTACAAACAGGCATTGGAGGAAGAATTCTTGGAATTTAAAAATGTAAATGAAACATAAACTGTATTAGAAGGTTTGAAAACAAAGGTAGGGAAAAGAAACTACCAAGAAGTAGGACAAAAGGCAGACAATAGGAAAGAAAAGTTAAGAAAATTGGGGGGGAAATTGAGAAACTCTAACATCCAAACAGAAATTCCAGAAAAACAAAACAAGAAAAAAGAAGGGAGGGGCTGATCAAGTAAATAATATATGAAAATTTTCCAAAAATGAAAGACAATGGCCGGGCATGGTGGCCCATGAGTGTAATCCTAGCACTCTGGGAGACCAAGGCAGGAGGATCACTTGAGCCCAGGAGTTCGAGACCCTTGGCAACATAGTGAGACCCTGTCTCTACAAAAAAATTATAAAATTAGGTGTGGTGGTGCGTGTTTGTAGTTCCAGTTACATGGGAGGCTAAGGAGAGAGGATTGCTTGAGACTGGGAGGTCAAGGCTATAGTGACCATCTCGTACCACGGCACTGCAACCTGGTGACAGGGCAAGACCCTGCCTCAAAAAGAAGAAGAAGAAAAAAAAAGACAAGTTTCCAGATTGAAAGGCACTAACAAGTGCAGGCTTGACCAGCAGCTTGATTCCATTCAGACTAATTGTAAAAACAGGCACTTACTCTAGGCATCAACATGAGTGACCCAGCCCTTCCAAATGGCAGTTCATAGCTTATGTCTCCATGGAGGGGTGTCTCTGTAATCTACTATTACTACCCAAGTGAAGTAACTGGCAAGAGCCCAACACTCAGGAAAAAGATATCATAACTTAATCCTTAGGAATACTGTCTAAGGTAGGAGTTAGAAAACTTGTTTTCTGAAAAGAGCAGATAGTAAATAGTTTTGGCTTTGCAAGCCCCATACAGTCTCAAGTGTGTATTCTTTTTCCCCCAATGCTTTAAAAAATGTAAAAATCCTCCCAAGCTAAGAGCAATAGAAAAACAGATTGTAGCCAAATTTGGCACACAGACTGAAGTCTCTCAACCCCTGGTCCAAGAAAATGGCTTTTAATTCAGCCCATTGTGCTGGATCAGCCCTTACCAGTTAATCTTTTAGACTGTCCTTGGAGCTGGAGGGTGGCTGCCACCCAGTGGACACCATTAGCTTTTCACTTAAGCTATCAGAGAACCAGACCCAACCGTTTATTTAATAGAGTAAACTTTGTACATGAAATCAGCCCAAGGGCTTTACCCACAAGGTCAATTTAACATCATATCCCTTGGTAAACTTTCCTCAAATCTAGCAGTTGAATTCAGATACAGATCCTATACTAAAACACGGACCAAGGTGTCTCACAGGCACATGTCAAGGGCTATAGTAATTTAGTTCTTCTTATTACAGAGGAAATAAAGATATTTGAGTCTGCCAGTAAACATGTCTTATGCCATATTAATGAACTGTACTAAGAGAAAACATGTTTCCAGAAATTATGAAATGGTACATTCATAAATTTGACAATCTACAGAGTGTTGGTATGTGACAGCTTACAATGGCCACAAAATGCCTGTAATATCTCCAGGCTGAAAATCTGGGGAGCAGAGAGTACTGGGAGTGGAAAAGGACGATAAGGACATGAGGAGCACTGTGTAGACTTTTTCTCTCCTTTGGCTGCTCGCTCCAGGGTTGGTGTCCAAACCCTGCAGTTGTTTCCTCCCTCATGTAGCTTCTGATATTTGGAAAGCAACCTCGCTCAAGGAGGTGAAATATTACGGTAGCTCTTCCCCTTCATCTTCAGCCCTTTTGGCAAGCCCTGGGTTCAGCTTTCCCTTCCCACATGGGACCAAGGATGGTGATCTGGTAACCCGTATCCAATAAAGCCATGAAAGTTCAGGTCCCTCCTCTTCTTTAAAATTTCTCCAGGGCACTTAGTTTTCTCCTTGAGGCAGCTGATGTCAGGGTAAAGGGGGGATGGCAGGATGAGAGGACACAAACTGAGAAAGTGGCACATACACCAATAAGCATGACTTTGCTTTTTTTTTTTTTTTTTTTTTGAAACAGAGTCTCACTCCAACACACAGGCTGGAGCACAGTGGCACAATCTCAGCTTATTGCAACCTCCATCTCCTGGGTTCAAGTGATTCTCGTGCCTCAGCATCCCAAGTAACTGGGACTACAGGTGCACATCACCACACCCAGCCAATTTTTGTATTTTTAGTAGGCTTTGTATTTGCTTTCAGCTTTGAGCAGCCAGTCACATGATCAAGCAAACTAACTTCCAAGGTTGCTGGCTGATATGGTTTGGCTGTGTCCCCACCCAAATCTCATCCTCAATTGTAACTCCTACAATTCCCACATGTCTTGGGAGGAACCTGGTCGGAGGTGATTGAATTATGGGGGTGGGTCTTTCGTGTGCTGTCCTCATTATAGTGAATGAGTCTCATGAAATCTGATTGTTTTAAAAATGGGAGTTTCCCTGCACAAGTTCTCTCTTTGTCCACTGCCATATAAGAGGTGACTTTGTCCACTGCCATACAAGCTCCTCTTTGCCTTCTGCCATGATTGTGAGGCCTCCCCAGTCATGAAGAACTGTAAGTCCATTAAACCTCTTTCTTTTATAAATTGCCCAGTCTCAGGTATGTCTTTATCAGCAGCATGAAAATGGATTAATACAGTAAATTGGTACCAGTAGAATGGGGTGCTGCTGAAAACATACATGAAAATGTGGAAGCGAGTTTGGAACTGGATAACAGGCAGAGATTGGGACAGTTTGGAGGGCTCAGAAGAAGACAGGAAAATCTGGGAAAGTTTGGAACTTCCTAGAGATTTGTTGAATGGCTTTGACAAAAATGCTGATAGTGATATGAACAAAAAGGTACAGGCTGAGGTGGTCTCACAAGGAGATGAGGAACTTGTTGGAAACTGGAGCAAAGGTGACTCTTGCTATGTTTTGGCAAAGAGACTGGCAGCTTTTTGCCCCTGCCCCAGAGATCTGTGGAACTTTGAACTTGAGAGAGATGATTTAGGGTATCTGATGGAAGAAATTTCTAAGCAGTAAAGCATTCAAGACATGACTTGGGTGCTGTTAAAGGCATTCAGTTTTAAAAGGGAAACAGAGCATAAAAGTTTGGAAAACTTGTAGCCTGACAATGCGAAAGAAAAGAAAATCCCATTTTCTGAGGAGAAATTCAAGCCGGATGCAGAAATTTGCAAAAGTAATGAGGAGCTGAATGTTAATCCCCTAGACAATGGGGAAAATGTCTCCAGGACATGTCACAGGTCTTCATGGCAGCCCCTCCCATCACAGGCTCAAAGGCCTAGGAGGAAAACATGGTTTTGTGGGCCGGGCCAAGGGTCCCCATGGTGTGTGCAGTCCAGAAAGGTGGTGCCCTGCATCCCAGCTGCTCCAGCCATGACTGAAAGGGGCCAGTATAAGCTCAGGCCATGCGTTCAGAGGGTTCAAGCCCCAGGCCTTGGCAGCTTTCATGTGGTGTTGAGCCTGCAAGTGCATAGAAGTCAAGAACTGAGGTTTGGGAGCCTCCACCTGGATTTCACAGGATGTACGTAAATACCTGGATGTCCAGGCAGAAGTTTGCTGCAGGGGTGGGGCGCTCATGAAGAACCTCTGCTAGGGCAGTGCAGAAAAGAAATGTGGGGTTGAATCACCCACATGGAGTTCCTACTGGGGCTCCAACCTAGTGGAACTGTGAGAAAGGGCCACCATCCTCCAGACCCCATAATGGCAGATCCACCGACAGCACTGTGTGCCTGGAAAAGCCACAGACAGTCACTACTAGCCAATGAAAGCAGCTGGGATGGAGGCTGTATCCTGCAGAGACACAGGGGTGGAGCTGCCCAGACCATGAGAACCCACCTCTTGCATCAGCATGACCCGGACATGAGATATGGAGTCAAAGGAGATCATTTTGGAGCTTTAAGATTTCACAGCCGGCTGGGTGCGGTGGCTCACGCCTGTAATCCCAGCATTTTGGGAGGCCGAGGCGGTGGATCACAAGGTCAGGAGATCGAGACCATCCTGGCTAACATGGTGAAACCCCGTCTCTACTAAAATACAAAAAATTAGCTGGGCATGGTGGCGGGTGCCTGTAGTCCCAGCTACTCAGGAGACTGAGGCAGGAGAATGGTGTGAACCCAGGGGGTGGAGCTGGCAGTGAGCTGAGATCGTGCCATTGCACTCTAGCCTGGGCGACAGAGGGAGACTCTGTCTCAAAAAAAAAAAAAAGATTTGACAGCCCTGGCCAGGCACTGTGGCTCACATCTGTAATCCCAGCACTTTGGGAGGCCGAGGCAGGTGGATCACGAGGTCAGGAGATAGAGACCATCCTGGCTAACATGGTGAAATCCCATCTCTACTACAAATACGAAAAAAAAAAATTGGCTGGGTGCAGTGGCTCATGCCTGTAATCCCAGCACTTTGGGAGGCCGAGGCAGGCGGATCATGAGGTCAGGAAATCGAGACCACCCTGGCTAACACAGTGAAACCCCATCTCTACTAAAAATACAAAAAAAAAAAAAAAAATTGGCTGGGCTTGGTGGTGGATGCTTGTAGTCCCAGCTGCTCAGGAGGCTGAGGCAGGAGAATGGCGTGAACCCGGGAGGCAGAGCTTGCAGTGAGCCAAGATCACGCCAGTGCACTCCAGCCTGGGCGACAGAGTTAGACTCTCTCTCTCAAAAAAAAAGATTTGATAGCCCTGCTGGATTTGGGACTGGCATGGGGCCTGTAGCCCCTTTGTTTTGGCCAATTTCTCCCATTTGGAATGGTTGTATTTACCCAATGCCTGTACCTCCATTGTATCTAGGAAGTAACTAAGTTGCTTCTGATTTTACAGGCTTATAGGCAGAAGGGACTTGCCTTGTCTCAGGTGAGACTTTGGACTGTGGACTTTTGAGTTAAAGCTGAAATGAGTTAAAACTTTGGGGGACTGTTGGGAAGGCATGACTGGTTTTGAAATGTGAGGATATGAGATTTGAGAGCGGTCAGAGATAGACTGATATGGTTTGGCTGTGTCCCCTCTGCCAAATCTCATCTTGAATTGTAACTCCTACAATTCCCACGTGTCATGGGAAGAACCTGGTGGGAGGTGACAGAATTATTGGGGAGGAAGGTATTTCCCGTGCTGTTCTCATGATAATGAATGAGTTCTCATGAGGTCTGATGGTTTTAAAAATGGGAGTTTTTCTACACAGGTTCACTCTTTGCCTGCCATGATCCATGTGACTTGCTCCTCCTTGCCTTCTGCCATCATTGTGAGGCCTCTCCAGCCATATCAAACTGTAAGTCCATTAAATCTCTTTCTTTTGTAAATTGCCCAGTCTCAGGTATGTCTTTATCAGCAGTTTGAAAATGGACTAATACATTAGTTTACCTAAAGGCCTGTATCCTCATTGCTGACATATGTTACTTCAGCCTCAGGGATCCTTTATGCAGCCATAGCAATACTGCCTTTTGAGTAGAGGCACAGGACTTATTACCACACTGTCAGGATAACCTTCACTTTTTCTATCACATGGGTAAGTGTGAACAACAACCGAGAACCATTTAGGCAGCTTGCCTGAACCCTCTGCCTAACCTCTAAACATTCATTAACAGGTAGGGCAGTGGGGTAATTCCCTCCACACCCACTCCATATATCCAACACTTAGACAAAAACACTGGCGATCAAATCCTGAGGAATCTCCTTACATCTCCTAACCTGGCCCGTAAGGGTCCTTGTACTTCTTCCATAAAGCCATCTCTCTATCAGGACCCTATTTGCTCCCCAAAACTACACAAAAGCTGCTAGAACTATAAGTATGTTTAGCATAGTTGCAGAATACCAGGTCAATATACAAAAATCAATTGTATTTCTACATACTACCAATGAACAAATGGAAAATAAAATTAAATGAAACATTTTAAAATGCCAATTAAAATAACATGTAAAATATAAAAATGCTTAGGAATAAGTCTCAAGATAGATGTGAAAGACACTGCTATGAGAATGAAAAGATGTCAAAGACTGTGTGTAAATATTTACAAGCATATGTCTTACTTGCATTCTGAATATATAAAGAACTCTCAAATCTCAACAATAAGGAAAAAACTCAATTTCATAAAAGGATAAAACGTTTGAATAGACAGTTCACCAAAAAAAAGATATACATATGGTAAAAAAAAAAAAACCTGAGAATATCTTCAACATTACTAGTCAACAGGAAAATGCAAATTAAAATTATAATAAGATACAACTAGATACCTTTTACAGTGGTTAAAATTTAAAAGACCAAACATAACAAATGTGGGTAAGGATCTGAAAAAACTGAACCTTCCTACACTGTTAATGAGAACAACCACTTTGGGAAACAATTTAGCAGTTTCTTAAAAAGTTAAACATACAGCTACCCAATGATCTAGCCATTTCATTCACAGGTATTTACTGAAATGAATAAAAAAGTAAATGTCTATACAAAGACTTACACATGTACATTTTATTTGTAATAGCCAAAAGCTAGAAACAACCAAATGTCTATGATCAAGTGAATATATTCATATAATGGAATATGAATGAACAACAAAAAAGAATAAACTTTATATGAAAAACCTCCAAATACTTACGCTGAGTGAAGGAAGCCAGAAAAAAATGACTTTCTCTTGTAACTATCTATTTACATAAAGCTCTAGAAAATGCAAACTGATCATTATGGGAAAAAGAAAATACAGTTTGGTGATAGATGGAGATAAGGGAGAACAAAAGGGAAAGATTACCCAGAATCACAAAAAAATTGAGGGGAAACTTGTAGAGTGTGATGGATAGGTTCACCATCTTCCATGTAGTTACAATTTCACAATGAATAATACATAAAACCATAAATTTAAAATGTGCCGTTTATTGCATGTCATGTCTACCCTCCCACCACCAACAGAAACATAAATAACACACTCCAACCCAGGATTCTAGCCACAGATAATATGACTGGTAAACTCTGTCAACTATTTAAATTCTCAACTTACTTTATGAAGTGAGCTAATCCTGAAACCAAATGACCAAGGACATTAAATGAAAACAGAAGTATAGACCCTGACCAGTATTTTCCATGAGTAGAGATGCAAAAATCCTTTTAAAAACAGAAAATGAATACAGCAATATACAGAAAGGATACTATCCCTCAAATGCAATATTGGATTAACATTTTACCATCTCTACACAGACTGATGGATAAAACTATATAACCTTTTCAATAGATAAATTTGATTTAAAAATTCAACACAAATGTATGATTAAAAAATAAACTCGGCCGGGCGCAGTAGCTCACACCAGTAATCCTAGCACTTTGGGAGGTAGACACAGGTGGATCACCTGAGGTCAGGAGTTCGAGACCAGCCTGGACAACATGTGGAACTTTTATGAATAAAAGTAGCCAATAAATAACACCTAGCACTTAAAATGCTTATGACATTACAGTACTGAAGGCTATCATCCTAATAATTCTCAACTAACCAAGGATATTCACTCAAACCACTTCTATTCAATATTGTACTAGAGATCCTAGCCACTACAATAACACAAGAAAAAAATGTAAGATTGAAAAGAATAAAAATACCACCAGTTATATATACTGAAGAAATAAAACCAAGCTTTTAGAAACTCTTCCAGAAAACAGAAAAATGTTAGCCCTCCCAAAATAACCTTGATATCAACACAAGCCAAAAACAAAATTAGAAGATAATCTCTTTCATAATCACTTATGTGAAAGTCCCAAGCACAAAATTAGCACATTAAAGCCAGTTATTACAAAATATATCTCAGCTAAGTGATTGAAATGAATACATGGAAGGTTTAATATTTCAAGAATGCAATCAATGTAATTCACTACACATGTATTTCTCTTTCAAAGAAGAAAATAAACTATAATTTCAATAATTAAAAAAATAATAAAATTCAATATCCATTTATGAAAAAAAACTCTCAGCGACCTAGGAAAAAGGGAAATTCCTTAATCTGATTAAGACTATCTAGATGGCAGAGTAGAAACAGCCATGTTCGGAGGCTCCCATTGAAAAGAATCATAATAAGACTGTGAATCCCTCACCAGCAATTAAGGTATCCAGGTTATCTCATCAGAACTGACCAGAAAGCTTGTGTGGTCCATGAAGAGGAAGGAAGAACAGTGTGGTATGGCAGCCCACCTGAGAGCCACAGGGGCAGGGGAACACCCTCCCCATAGCCAAGGGAGGCAGTGAGTGAGCATTCCACCCAGCTGGGGAAACCGTGGTTTTTCCACAGAACTGCGCAACCCATGGATCAGAAGATCCAACTTGCGAACCCATGCCACTGGGCCCTAGCGTCCCAACCCCAGAGCTCTGCAGATTCTCAATAGCCTTTCAGCTGGAATCTGCTGAAGCCTACTGAGCTCCCTACAGGAGGGGCAACCAGCACCACAGCTACAGCTGTCTGCTGTCTAAGCCATTTCAGCTCCTTGGGGTAGGGGCCTGAGCCCCTAGAGAAAAGGGTGGCAGCAGTCTCTGCAGACCAGCAAACTTAGCCTTTCCTCCTGGTGGTTCTGAGGAATCCGGGAAGCCCAGACAACGTGCTTCCCCCAAGTAAAGCATAACCCCTCCACCAATGGACAGTCAAAGTGCTTCGTTAAATGGGTCCTGTTCAGCCGGGCGCAGATGGTGGCTCACGCCTGTAATCCCAGCACTTTGGGAGGCCGAGGCAGGCAGATCACGAGGTCAGGAGATCAAGACCATTCTGGCCAACATGGTGAAACCCTGTCTCTACTAAAAATACAAAAATTAGCTGGGCGTGGTGGCACACGCTTGTAATCCCAGCTACTTGGGAGACTGCGGCAGAAGAATTGCTTGAACCTGGGAGGCAGAGGTTGCAGTGAGCCAAGATGGCACCACTGCACTCCAGCCTGGTGACAACATAGCGAGACTCCGTCTAAAAAAAAAAGGGGTCCTGTTCCCCATGCCCCTAACTGGGTGAGACCCTCCAACAGGGGTTGTCAGACACCCTATACAGGAGCAATCCTACTGGCATAGGCTGGTGCCCCTCAAGGTCAGAGATCCCAGAAGAAGGAGCAGGCACCCATCTTTGCTGTTCTGCAGCCTCCTTGAGTGACATCTCCAGGCACGGGAGCAAACCACATGTATAGGGCCTGAAGTGAACCCCCAGCAAATTGCAGTGGCCCTACAGAAGAGGGACCTGACAACTGAAACAACAACAACAACAACAACAACAAAACACAAAGAAACAGAAAGCAACAACAACAGCTGACCCATCCATGGGTCAGCAGCCTCAAAGATCAAACTGGACAAACTCACAAAGATGAGAAAGAATCAATGAAAAAATGCTGAAAACCCGAAAGGACAGACTGCCCGAAGTAATTTATAGATTCAATGTTATTCCCATCAAACTATCATTGACATTCTTCATAGAATTAGAAAATCTTTAAATTTCATATGGAATCAAAGAAGAACCCATATAGCCAAGACAATCCTGAGCAAAAAGAACAAAGCTGGAGGCATCATACTACTTGAGTTCAAGCTATACTACAGTAATCAAAACAGCATGGTACTGGTACCAAAACAGGCATATATGGAACAGAACAGAGATCTCAGAAATAACACCACACATCTACAACCATCTGATCTTCAACAAACCTGACAAAAACAAGCAATGGGGAAAGGATTCCCTATTCAATAAATGGTCCTGGGAAAAAGGCTAGCCATATGCAGAAAACTGAAACTGGACCCTTCCTTACACCTTACACAAAAATTAACTCAAGATGGATTAAAGACTTAAATGTAAAACCCAAAACCATAAAAAAAAAACCTACAAGAAAACCTAGGCAATATCATTCAGGACACAGGCATGGGCAAAGACTTCATGATGAAAATGCCAAAAGCAACTGCAACAAAAATCAAAATTGACAAATGGGATCTAATTAAACTAAAGAGCTTCTGCACAGCAAAAGAAACTATCATCAGAATGAATAGGCAACCTACAGAATGGGAGAAAATTTTTGCAATCTACACATTGGACAAAGGTCTAATATCCAGAATCTACAAGGAACTTAAACAAATTTACAAGAAAAAAATAACCCCATCAAAAAGTAGGCAAAAGATATGAACAGACACTTCTCAAAAGAAGACATTTACATGGCCAACAAACATACAAAAAAAAAAAAAAAAGCTCAACACCACTGACCATCAGAGAAATGCAAATCAAAACCACAATGAGATACCATCTCATGCCAGTCAGAACGGCAATTATTAAAAAGTCAAGAAACAATAGATGCTGGCGAGGCTGTGGAGAAATAGGAACGCTTTTACTCTGCTGGTGGGAATGTAAATCAGTTCAACCATTGTGGAAGGCAGTATGGCCATTTCTCAAGGATCTAGAACCAGAAATACCATTTGACCCAGCAATCCCATCACTGGGTATATACCCAAAGGATTATAAATCATTCTACTATAAAGACACATGCACAGGTATGTTTATTGCAGCACTATTTACAATAGCAAAGACACGGAACCAACCCAAATGCCAATGATAGACTGGATAAAGAAAATGTGATACGTATACACCATGGAACACTATGCAGCCATAAAAAAGAATGAGATCATGTCTTTTGCAGGGACATGAATGAAGCTGGAAGCCATAATTATCAGCAAACTAACACAGGAACAGAAACCAAACACTGCACGTTCTCACTCATAAGTGGGAGTTGAACAGTGAGAACACATGGACCCAGAGAGGAGAATAACAAACACCAGGACCTGTTGGGTGATGAGCGGTTAGGGGAAGGAACTTAGAGGATGGGTCAATATGTGCAGCAAACCACCATGGCACATGTATACCTATGTAACAAATCTGCAGGTTCTGCATATGTATCCCATTTTTTTACAAGAAATAAAGAAAAAAATCATAAAAAAGAATACATAAAACATCTTGAAGTTTAATCATGAAATATTAAAAACTTTCCCTTTTAAATTGGAAACGAGACAAAAAATATGCACTATTATCATTTCTATTCAAATTTGAACTGGTGGTGCTAGACATCACAATAGGCAAAAAAAAAAAAAAGCTAAAGTTTTGGAGTGAAAGAATATAATTACTATTAATATCAAATAACATCATTTTGCATGTAGAAAAGCAAAAAGTATATAATCTATTACAATAAGTGAATAAGTTTTAAATTAATTCAATATCATTTACATCTTAATAGAGGATGATGAGCATTAATTTAATGACATATGGTAGGTTTTAAAGTGGGATTTAGGCGGCAATACTGTATTGTGCAGTAGTTAAGAGCACTGGCTTTGGAGTAAGTTAGACCTGAATTTGAAATCTTGTTCTGGTACCTCTTACTCGTTTGATCTGGGACAAGCTATCTAACCTCAAAAAGGCTTGATTTCCAAACTACTAATAATAATTGTTTGTTGAGAGACCCAAATTAATATAGTTATAAAAAGTTATTTTACTGTTATGTTATTTTCATTATCTACGGCCTCAAAATTTGTAAGTGGGAGAGTTGAGCTTTGACCACAGGCATTCTAGCTCCAACGTTTGTGCACATAACAACAAAGGTATAGTATCTCTCCAAAATATTAGTTTGGCAAATACAAATACAAATTATATACTGCCGCCAAAAAATTTCCAGCCGGGAGAGATAAGACATAAACACATAACTACAGCAAGGAAAAATCAAATGAGTGCTACAATGAGTAAAATGAAAGACTGATAATATCAAATGTTGATGAATATATGAAACAACTGGAATGCTTATGCATTAATAATAAGAATTTAAAATGGTGCAACTACAATTAGAAAAAGGCTTGGCAGTATCTTATAAAGTATGGATGCTATTTAACCCATCAATTATACTAATATTTATCCAAGAAAAATAAGAACATATACAATCTTCATTATTCACAGATTGCACATTTGTGAATACTAATATCTATCCAAGAAAAATAAGAACATATACAATCTTCATTATTCACAGATTGCACATTTGTGAATTCACCTCCTAACTAAAATTTGTTAGTAACCCCAAAATCAATACTTGAAGCTCTTTCACAATAATTTGTAGATGTGTACGGAGCAGCAAAAATTTGAGTCAGCAGACAGGTACATTCTCAGCTGATGTGGAACATACCAATACTCTCTCTTGTTTTGGCAATCATACTGTAAACAAGCGTCCTTTTCATGATCTATTTTTTGCCATGTTTTTCAAGTTGTGATGCATTTTGTTGGTGATTTTGTTGTGTAGAATGGTGCCATGAAGAATACTGAAGTGCTGTGTAGTATTCCTGAGTGCAAGAAGGCTGTGGTGTGCCTTAAGGAGAAAATACATTTTAGATAAAGTTTATTCAGACATCAGTTCTAGTGCTGTTGGCTGTGAATTCAATGTTAATGAAACAACAATATATAGTAAATAAGGTGCCTTTAAACAGAAACACACATAAAACAAAATTATATGTTGATCAGTTCACAAAAATGTTGTGACCAGAGGATCACAAGAACCTAACCCTATATTTCCCCTAGAAGCAATGGTTCAGTATTCAATAATTCAGTGTCCACGGTGACTTTACAGAACATAACTAGAGTGAATAACAAGAATCAGTAATATCCACAAAAAGGCTTACATGTATATATTCACAGCAGCTTTACTCATAATAGCTAAAAACTGAAAATAATCAAAAAGTCCATAAACCAAATGGATATACAAATTATAAAACAGTCACAGAATGGAATAGTACTAAGTAATAAAATGGAATGGACTATTGTTCCAAGCAATAATAAGAGATAAATCTCAGAAACATGTTGAGCAAAAGAAGACTTACACAGAGTGTAATTCCATTTACATGGAAAGAACAAGAAAGGTAAAACAAAAGGTGAAGAAAAGTTAAAGCCGTCCTATGAGGGTGGGAAGACTGACTGGAAAGAGGCAATAGAAAGTTTCTGGAGAGAAAGAAACATTCTATCTATACTTTGAAAGGGGGATTGGGTTTCATGTGTTTACTTAATTGTCGTAATTGTCCAGCTCAGATTTGTGAATTTGAATTATGTAAATTTTATCTTAAAGAATTACCAATGACTGAGTGGATGGTGAGAAGTGGAGGAATGCAAAAACGAAACAAGAATGTCATAACGATAACTTGTTTCTGAGTGATGGGTACATGGTGATACATCATACTATAAACTTCATTGTGTTTATTTTGTATAGTCCCTAAATTTTCCAAAACAAAAAATTAAATAAGAGGAGTAGAAAGTATGCAGAGCAACTATGTGGGAGGGAAGGAGAGATGAGCTTTATAAAAGAACAATAACTGGATAGGAGAATGTTTGAGGGCAATAAATAAATAAATACAAAAAAATTAAAAAGAAGTTAGAAGAAAACATTTTTAAAAGTTAAAAAAAATAATAAAAGCAAAGAAAAACAAGTGATAACTTGGTTTGAAGGCCTTCATGGAAAAGTCATTACAATTGGGCTCATTTGGTAGAGTTTAGGCATGCAAAACTGAAGAAAGGCCATTTCAGAGAAATAAAACAATGTAAAGAAAATGATAAATACACATATTGGTGTTGGGCTATTTAGAGAACAGTTTAAGTATTAGGCGAAGAAAAAAGAACGATGGAATATAAAACTAAAAAAGTAGATGGGGGATGAAATCACACAAAAAGGATAGAAATGTTAGGCCACAGAAAACACATTAGTCAATGGGGAATTATTCTACATATTCAAGTTTGTAATGACAGGATAAGAGCTAAACTTTAGAAACTTTCATCTAGCAGTGAAGAATAGTATGGAAGCAATACAAGTCTCTCTAACTGATAATGATGCCCTAACAGGGCAATGATAGGGAGAATGGAAAGCCACGGACACAGGCAGTAGAGCTGGTATTTGATGGCTAAGATTTTAAAAGAGCAAATATCAAGTTACATAGCTTTGAAAAGGTTTAAAACACAGAGATTCTTCTCCTTAGCACAAAATAATGCTGAGAAAACTAACCTACTGAAAACAGAATATCATGAGGTCTGATACCAATTTCCTCAAGATTTATGACTGGAAGTGCTGATTTACAACTAGAAGTGCCAATCCAATTAATGTTGAAATTTCAGTTTTGGATGATGTTTTAAAAATAACCTTGTTATGGAACTACTATAAAAGCAAAAGCAAGGATTCCAGATTTACCACAAAGTACTCCAAATAGCAATGAGTATATTTTCTATGCTTTTTTGTCTCTACAGAAATGCTCTTAAAACAAAATGGACGTATATCAGTGTTAAGGGTATCTTATCTAATAAATTTCTTTGTTCCAGCCCCTACCACCACTACCAATGGCCTTGGCCTTGAAAATAATGCTTTGTATGTATTCAATGGAATTAACCTTAGTGAACAGAAGTCATAACTGCCCTCATGTAACTTCTAACGAACAAAAAGAGGGAAACATGTAACTAAATTACTAGTAAAAAATCCCCTGCATATTCTTGAAGTATATTAGTTTCTTATTTGAAAAATTTCTATGCAAGGTTAAATTCACAATTATTAAAGCCGCTTTTATTATGTGAAGGGCTTTATAACTGATGAAGATTATTTGCTTGACCAAGCCTTCTCCTAGGCCCATCTGTGCACTTTCTTGTAAAATTCAGTTTTAGCAAAAAACTCTGCTAAGTCAGTACAGCAAAAACATTGATAACTGATCACCCTGGATATCTAATTGCATTCTTCATTCCCCACCATCCCCAGGAGATGTCTGATTATCTTGGCCTGTCTTCAGAAAAAAATCCTTCTAGGTGAGTTTAGCCAGAATCACCTTTTAAGTCTGATATTTCCTTTTAGTAATTTTCTATCTACTAACTCTCCATCCCTTCTCATTGGCTATAAATTCCCACTTGCCCATGTTGTATTGTGAGTCTCTCTCCCTCACTGTAAAATCCCATGTCAGTGGTCCTTACATCTATCGCAATGACCCTAAATAAAGTCTTCCTTAATGTACTTTAACAAGTATCACTGAATAAATTTTTCCTTAACATTAGGACAATTATTGTCTATTTCAATGGCAATAACAAAAATACTGGCTTGAAGAAGGATTTGAGAGGGCACAGAAGACAAGATGGCTGACTAGACACAGCCAGGAAGTGCCTATGCCACCAAGAGAGACCAAAATATCAAGTAAACAAACATACTTTGAACAAATCTTCAGAGAGGAAACACCAAGAGTTCAAAGGCAACATAGACACTGAGGGTGAAGAGAGAGGAAACTGGGAAACCTGTGTGGGGTTTCCGAATGTGAGGGCTAGTTCCTGCCACTGAATGGCTCCTAGGGAAGACAGCGGTGCTCTAAACTTGCTGAAATACAAAAGAGCGACAAGTCAGAGCCAAAGCCTATCTATCGGCCATTATACTTAAGCACCATCTACTGGTTGACAGACCAAATTACAACACCAAAAATATTCTGCCAATATACATCATCTGTGAAACCCAGGGAAAGAATCTACTCACAAATAAAAATCCTGTACAGAGTCTTGGCCCTCTGAAAACACTTAGAAAAGAAGCCAATTGAGTATACTCAACTTATACCACAGTTAAAGGAACACCAGCCCACTCAGATGAAAAAGAATCAGCAAAAGAACTCTAACAATTCAAAAAGTCACTGTCCTCTTCTTTCCAAAAGAGTGCAGAAGCTCCCCAGCAATAGATCTTAACCAGATTGAAATGACTGAAATGACAGACAATTCAGAATCTAGATAACAAGGAAGTTCAATGGCTTTACGAGAAAGGTGAAACCAATTCAAGGAATCAAAGGAATCCAGTAGAACTATCCAAGAGCTGAAAGACAAAATAGCCATTTTTAAAAAGAACCGAACTGAACTTCTAAAATTGAAAAATTCACTACAAGAACTTCATAGTACAATCAGAAGCATTTACAGCAGAATAGACTAAGCTGAGAAAAGAAGCTCAGAGCTTGAAGACCAGTTTAGTTCTTTCAATTCAACTTAGACAAAAATAAGGAAAAAAGAATATTTTAAAAATGAAAAAAATTTCTGAAAAATATGGGATTATATAGAGACCAAACCTAGGATTCATTGGCATTCCTGAGAGAGAAAACAACTTTGAAAACATATTTGAAGATACAGTTTATGAAAAATACCCCAATCTCACTAGAGATATCAACATGCAAATTCAAGAAATACAGAAAACTCTTGTGAGTTTTATACAAGATGACCATCCCCAAGACACACAGACATCAGATTCACCAAGGCCGATGTTAAAGAAAAAATCTTAAAGGCAGCTAGAGAGATGAGTCAGGTCACTTATAAAGGAAACCCCATCAGGATAGTAGCGGGCTACTCAGCAGAAACTTACAAGCCAGAAGAGATCGGAAACCAATTTTCAGTAGCCTTAAAAAGAATAAATTCCAATGAAGAATTTCATATCCCACCAAAGTAAGCTTCAAATGCTAAGAATTTGTAACCACTAGACCAGCCTTATAAAAAGTCCATAAGGGAGTGCTAAACATGAAAGTAAAAGAACAGTATCTGATACCACAAAAACACAATTAAGCATATAGCCCATAGACACTATAAAGCAGCTATGCAAACAACTCTACAAAACAACCAGCTAAAAACACAATTTCTGTATCAAAACTTCACATATCAATGCCAACCCAGAATGTGAATGGAATAAAGACCCACTTAAAAGGCATAGGATGGCAAGCTGGACAAAAAGACAAGATCCAACTGTCTGCTGTCTTCAAGAAGATGCATCTCACATGTAACAATACCGAAAGCCTCAAAATTAAAGGGAAAAAGAACTGCCATACAAATGGAAAACAATAAAGAGCAGGAGTTGCAATTCTAATATCAGATAAGGCAGACTTTAAACTGAAAACAATTAAGAAGGGCAAACAAGGGTATTACATAGTGGCAAAGGGTTCCATTCAACAAGAAGACTTAACTACCTTAAGTCTATACACACCCAACATTGGAGCATCCAGATTCATAAAACAAGTCCTTTTTGACCTAGAAAAAGACCTCAATAGCCACATAATAATACTGGGAGATGTCAACTCCCCAGTGACAGGATTAGACAGATCACTGAGGAAGAAAACTAACAAAGAAATTCCAGACTTAATCTTGACAGTCCACCAATGGGACCTAATAGACATCTATAGAATAGTCCACCCAAAATCACATAATATACATTTCTCTCATCTGCATAAGAAACATATTCTAAGATCAACCAAATGTTTTGGTCATAAAGCAAGTCTCAATAAATTCAAAAAAATCAAAATCATATTAAGCACGTTCTCACATCACAGTGCAATAAAAACAAAAACCAACACCAAGAAGATCTCTCAAAGCTACACATATACATGAAAAGGAAGGAATTTGCTCTTGAATAAGTTTTGGGGAAATAATGAAATGAAGGCAGAAACCAAAAAACTATTCGAAATTCACAAAAACAGAACCACATATTAACAAAATCTTTGGGATGGAACTACAGCATGTTAAGAGGAAAGTTTACGGTGCCAAATGCATTCATCAAAAATTAGAAAGATCTCAAATTAACAATCTAACTTTGTACCTAGAGGAACTAGAAAAAAAAAAAAAACCACAAAGCTAATAAAAGAAAAGAAATAATTAAGATCAGAACTGAATTAAATTAAGACACAAAAATCCATACAAAAGATCAATGGAAAGAAGAGTAGGTTTATCGGAAGAATAAAAAAGATTGACAGACTTCTCATTAGATTAACAAAGGAGAAAAAGGGAAGATCCAAATAAGCACAAACAGAAATGACAAAGATGACATTACAACTGATCCCACAGAAATACAAAACATCCTCAGAGACTATTATGAACATCTCTATGAACACAAATAAGAAATCTAGAGGAAATAAATTTATGGGAACACACAACCTCCAAAGATTGAACCAGGAAGAAAGTGAAAACCTGAAAAGACCAATAACAAGTTCCAAATTTGAGTCAGTAATTAAAAACCTACCAACAAAAAAAAAGCCATGGACTAGAAGGATTCACACTGAATTCTACCAGGCATACAAATAAGAACTGGCACCAATCCTACTGAAAATATTCAAAAAAATTGAGGAGGAGGGACTCCCCCTGCTCCCTAACTCATTCTACAAGGCCAGAATTATCCTGATACCAAAATCTGGCAAAGACACAACAAAAAAGAAAACTTCAGGCCAATATCCCAAATGAACACAAACACAAAACCCTAAAAAAACAAAAAAAAACACAAAAATACAAAAAAAAACTAGCGAAATGAATCCAGCAGCACATTAAAAAGTTAATTCACCATGATCGAGTAGGCTGTATTCTTGGATGCAGGGTTGGTTCAACATATGCACATCAATAAATGTGATTCACCACATAAACAGAATCAAAAACAAAAAGCATATGATCATCTCAATAGACAAGAAAAAGCTTTCTACAAAATCCAACATCTCTTTATGATAAAAACCCTCAACAAACAAGGCTTCGAAGGAACATACCTCACAATAATAAGAATGAAAAACCTTATTCATTCTTATTATTCATTCTCACAATGAAAAACCCACAGCCAACATCATACTGAATGGGCAAAAGCCGGAGTCATTCTCCTTGAGAACTAGAATGAGACAAGGCTGCCCACTCTCAACACTCCTATTCAACATAGTACTGAAAGTGCTAGTCAGAATAATCAGACAAAAGAAAGAAATAAAATACATTCAAATAGGAAAGGAAGTCATATTACCTCTCTTCAGTGATGATATGATTCCATACCTAGAAAACATTAAAGATGCTGCCAAAAGGCTCCTGGAACTGATAAATAAGGATACAAAATCAATGTACAAAAATCAATAGCACTTCTATACACCAAAAACATTCTACCTGAGAGCCAAATCAAGAACACACACCAATTTCCAATAGCAAAAACCTATGCATACATCTAACCAAAGAGGTGAAAGATCTCTACAAGAACTACAAAACACTGCTGAAATAAATGAGAGACAAGACAAATAAATGGAAATATATTCCATGCCCATGAATTGGAAGAATCAATATTGTTAAAATGGCCATACTGGTCAAAGCAATTTATAAATTCAATGCTATTTCTATCAAACTACCAACATCATTTTTTGCAAAATTAGAAAAGCCTATTCTAATATTCACATGGAACAAAAGCAGATCCCAAATCGCCAAGGCAATACTAAGCAAAAAGAACACTACCTGACTTCAAACTATACTATAAGGCTATAGTAACCAAAATAGCACGGGACTGGTACAAAAACAGACACATAGACCAATGGAACAGAACAAAGAACCCAGAAATAAAGCCATACACCCATAACCATCTGATTTTCAACAAAGTCAACAAAAGGAAGCAATGAGGAAAGGACTCCCTGTTCAATAAATGGTGCTGGGATAACTGTCTAGCCACATGCAGAAGAATGAAGCTAGTCTCTACCTTTCACCGCATACAAAAATTAACCCAAGATGGATTAAAGATGTAAAGATAAGACCTCAAACTACAAAAATCCTACAAGAAAACCTAGGAAATGCACTTCTTGACATCAGGTTTGGCAAAGAATTTATGACTAAGTCCCCAAAAGCAATTGCAACAAAAATGAAAATTGACAAGTGGGACCTAATTAAACTAAATAGCTCTGCACAGAAAAATAAATTATCAACAGTAAACAGCCTAGAGAATGGGAGAAAATATTCACAAACTATGCATCTGACAAAGGTCTAATATCCAGAATCTATAAGAAACTTAAATCAACAAGCAAAAAACAAATAACTCCTTTAAAAAATGGGGCCAGGTGCGGTGGCTCACACCTGTAATCCCAGCACTTTGGGAGGCCGAGGCGGGCAGATCAAGAGGTCAGGAGATCGAGACCATCCTGGCTAACACAGTGAAACCCCGTCTCTACTAAACAAAATAGAAAAAATTAGCCGGGCTTGGTGGCAGGCACCTATACTCCCAGCTACTCGGGAGGCTGAGGCAGGAAAATGGTGTTAACCTGGGGGGCAGAGATTGCAGTAAGCTGAGATCCTGCCACTGCACTCCAGTCTGGGCGACAGAGTGAGACTCCGTCTCAAAAAAAAAAAAAAAAAAAATCGGCAAAGGATATAGACACTTATCAAAAGAAGACATTGTAAGTGGCCAAGAAATAAATGAAAAATGTTCATCATCACTAATCATCAGAGAAATGCAAATCAAAACTACAACAATATACCATCTTACACCAGTCAGAATGGTGATTATTAAAAAGTCAAAAAATAATAAATGCTGACAAGCCTGGGGAGAAAAGGGAACACATATACACTCTTGGTGGGAATGCAAGTTAGTTCAGCCACTGTGGAAAGCAGTTGAGAGATGTCTCAAAAACTTACAACAGGACTACTGTTTGACCCAGCCATCCCATTACTGGGTATATACCCAAAGGCAAATAAATTATCCTAAAAAAAGACATATGCACCGATATGTTCACTGCATCACTATTCACGATCGCAAAGATATGGAATCAACCTAGGTGCCCATCGATGGTAGAGTCGATAAAGCAAATGTGGCACATATACACCATGGAATACTACGCAGCCATAAAAAGACTGAAATGTGTCCTTTGCAGCAACATGGATGTGGCTGGAGGCCATTATCCTAATTAACACAGGAACAGAAAACCAAATACTGTATGTTCTCACTTGTAAGCGTGACCTAAATAACGGAATACATATGGACAGAAAGATGAGAACAATAGACATTTAGAGTTGTCTAAAGGAGGGAGGGGGGAGGGAGGGGGAAATGGGCTGAAAAACTACCTATCAGATATTATGCTCAGTACCTGGGTGACAGGATCATCTATATCCCAAACCTCAGCATCATGCAATATACCCATGTAACAAATCTGTACATGTACCCCCGAACCTAAAATAAGAAATTATTTTTAAAATATATACATAGGCTTAAAACTAAAGAATAAATCATTTTAAATCAGACATATGCATTTCTGAGTATATATACTGTTACATATTGGAATATTTTTCTAATGAAAAGAGTAAAATCTGTTTTTCTAAAGTATCTTTTTAAAAAGAGGAACTTACAAGTTTATATTTTAATTATACTCCAAAATTATAGCCAGAAAAAATATTTCGGTCAGTGGATAGTGTTTCATAACCAAGTGTCTGCAAAGCAACTATTCAGTTAGGTTTGTGGATTTCTATTCATACCCGAATGCGTACACATACATATGCATACAAATATCTATATACATATTCTATATAGTATATTTTTCAATTTTTGTTAAGAGAATAACTTTGGAAAATAATCTTCAATTAGAGTAGAAGAAAAAAAACAAAAGCATTAAATGGCATACATTCCTGCTGTAGATGTTTACAAATGCAGGTGCCAGTAACAGAGTTCCTACAAATCAATCATGATACTACCACCTATATTACTGCCTATACTTTGCAGCTCTACAAAGGACTCTATGACACATGAGGACTCTATGAGTCAGAATTCCTCATGTATAAAATAGGATAAAATGCTACCTATAGTTCATGCAATGTTATGAGAATTAAATGAGCTAATCCAATTAAAGTGCTTACTCTGATAGGCTAATATTAAAAACAAGTGTTCATTCCCCAAGACCTAAATTAAGAGACATATTTTGTCATAGTGGACAATGTACATAAAGAACTTTACATAAAGGACAGTGAAATATTTGTCTCAGATAATACTAACATTAATCATAAGATGTATAATCAAACTATTAAATGTGAAGAAATATCAGTTTCCATCTTTCTAATTTTTAGATTTGAGGAATTATGATTCCTTCATTACAACTACAACTGACCTATGTAGAAATAGAATAAAAAATTAAAAATTTTGTTTGTGACAAAAGTGACCTAACTTATCAAGTATTTATTTACCAAGATAAATATTTAAATATATCATTTGATAATATCTAAGATAAAACAGAAGTATAGTTGCAAGGTACATTCAATATAAGAATTAAAATCCCATTCCCTTCACCATACAAAAATAGGAATTGTGTATAAAAAGCTACATAAAAATACTTAGCATAACAGTTCATAATTGAAAACTGGATATATCTATATATCTAATGTCCTACTGCTGAAGATCACTTATGATACAGGCATTCAGTGGAAAATTATATAACCATTTTAAATGACTTTGAACTAAATTTTTGGTGGCATAGGAAAATGTTCACAAAGTTGAAAAAAGCAAGGAACAAAAGTGTTCGTACGGTATGATTCAAAGTTTGTAAAATAGTATAGATGTGTGTGCATACACCACACACACACAAAAAAACCCTGAAAATGTATACATCAAAATATTACTATTTCTGGATAGAGGGATTACAGGGATTTTAAAACTTGCTTCTTGTGTGTTTCTGTATTTCCCATATTCTTTTTGTAATCTAAAAGTTAAAAGATTTCAAAATCCTACTGTTTTAGTTTTTATCCATATATAAATTTTGTACCAGGAGGATTTCATAGACACCAAGACTCCAAATATGATCCCATGTTTAAGAATACAATTTTTTCAATTGTTTTTAATAAAATACATTCTCAGTGACACCTATCTTAGTCTTGTAAGCTTGATATGTTTAACGGAGAGAACCAAAATTGAACACTGGATCAAAAAACAATCTCTTCTTGGGAGAGGAGGGGAACTTGACCAAGAGCAAATGTTGATAATATTGAAATATATGAATTAATTTATAACTCTTATTTCAAAATGTTCAATAACTCTTGGCACAGAGAGGACTTTTTATTGGCTTTTTGTTGAACACTATGTGATTCTTAAAACTGTCATCTTCCACCCCCCTCCTTAATATATATGAATCCAAGCTTGCAAGTCATATTAACATATTCTTTCTTTAGTTTGGTAGAAATTTGTACTTTTGACCTTGAATTTTCCCTACTACCTAATCAGAGTTTTATCATAAATAAACATTTACTATTGCAGGCATTAAAATGGAATAGGACTTAATAATTAGTAAAGTTCCTTCCTAACTTCAGATTTTATGAAGATCTAAGTAACTGATGAAAAATTGAATCCTTTAACATGAAAAAACAAAATTCGTATTCACATTTCAAGTTATATGTGTCAAAGCACTGGTGCTGAAACAGAATAGGTTATCTTCTAATTTCACATCACTGAGTTATTCACTGCAGTAATGAGGAAATATATTCTTGAGAAAGTTATGCTGGGAAATTACCTAACATTCTCTGACAATAAAAACAAAACTAACAATAAAAAGAAAAGCAGGCCAATGGTGTGAAAAAAAATTATGGATTAGTATGGTGTTTTCTGATTATAAAGCTAAATATAAGGACAGGATTTTTGCACTTTGATCACTCTCACAGTGTTGCACTGAAAATAAAACATTAATACATAGAATGGAAGAACACTGATCAACACAATCTACAATATTTACATAGAAATTATTAGTCATAAAGGGTTTTGGAGTATTCATTTAGGTAGGCAGTAACATTTCCTGAGGGCTTTCTATGTGATAGGAACTTTGCTGGTTATCAGAAACGCAAAAAATGAAAAGCCACAATTCTTGCCCTCAACAAGATCATACACAGGTAAGTTTACACATCCACCACCTATGATAAATCAGCCCAGTTACAAGGACACCAAATCTGAAATGATAATCACTATGATGCCTATTGAAGTTAGAATATTTGGTTTAAAATATTCCCTCTTAATTTTTTGGTTTTTACAATGCAGTTAAGAGGTATGGCTAATGAGATGCATTGAAAAACATGATGAGTATATTACAAAAGTATTGTATATGGGGGAAAATCTTTGTATTTCAGCAATTTTTAATATTTACTTGAATTTTTCCCAAAAAATTGGGAAACAATTTTTTCTCCCACAAAACACCCACTATTTGCAGTCCTATTGCACAAATGTCAATCTATTATTGGTTTTTCTTCTTCCATAATAAGAAAATCATACATTTACATTAAAACATTGCCTTGTTCATCTTTAAGACTTCCAATTAATGGTGCTATGCTTTAGTTCCCAGTATTACAAAGGCAGAATAAATTTTTAAATAGTACTGGAAAAAATGGTCATAGAGTGAGTATATGAATCCCGAAAACTGAAAACTAAAGAGGTTGCCCCTTCACCATCACTTTCCTATTCCCAAAAGACTAGAATCATTGAACGTATTTGATGTAAAAAATGAGTACCTTCTGAAATAGTTCATCTCCTACATCCTCATAAGCCAACTTGATGAAATCTTATTGATTCTAAAAGCCTCCATTTAGAAACCATCACCTAAAGCCTTTCCGTGGTCTCCAAAATAATCTTCCCTCTGAATATCCACTACATCTTGGTAGCACTACACTTATGCTACTTATTTCAAACTACCTTAAATTTAGTTATTTGAGCAAAACACCTTTAACGCTTTTAGATAGAAATAGCTCCTAAGGGTAAACAACATGTCTTGGTATCAGTTATACTACTTTGGTGGTGTCCTCAAACACTCATTGATTGTTCAACACTGTACAAGGAACTTAACCTCTTTATTGTATAGTATGTGTTATAATACCTACCTCATAGGATTGCTATGACCAATAAATGAACACATATTAAATACAAAGAAATACGATCAATCCTCATCCACAGATTCCGCATTTATGAATTTGTCTACTCAATAAAATTTATTTGTATCCCAACATCAATATTCGTAGCACTTTGGCAATAATTTGTGGAAATGTGCAGGAGGAGGAGAATTTTGAGTCACCTGATTTGCATCCTATCAGCTGAAACTGAACAAATGCTCTGCTTTGTTTCTGCTCTCATACTATAAAGGATTATTCTTTTCACAGTCTATTAAGTGCAACAATGTTCTCATTTTTGTGCTTTTTGTTGATGATTTGGCTATTTAGAATGCCCAAGTGCTATCTAGTGTTCCTAAGCACAAGACGCCTGTGATATGCCTTAAGGAGAAAATATGTGTGTTACAAAAGCTTCCTTCAGGCATGAGTCATACTGCTGTGGGACATGAGTTCAATATTAATGAATCAACAATACATATTTTAAATAAGTTGTCTTTAAACAGAAATACACATTTTTTAAAAGTTACGTATTGATAGGTGAACAAAAATGTTGTGACCAGAGGCTTACAGGAACCTAACATTGTAATTCCAGTAAGAGCTAATTTATTATTCACTGCTACGTCACAGAACAAATCTACTTCAAGCAGTGAGAATCAACTGTACTTAGAATACTGACAAATATATAGTTAAGAGCTAAGGAACTATTAACTACCATTACAATTTTATTGTTAATAGCACATGGTAGGTACTTGATCATCTGTTAAAACAGTGCCTGAATAAAATAAAAATAAGGACTAGGTTTTAAAAAGGAAGAAAATTTCCAAATTATTTTTATATAACAGATATATAACATTGGCCCCAAAACTTCACAAAACTGCACAGAAAACTGTACAAATCAAACACACTGAAGAATAATGATGCAAAAACTTTAAATGAGATAATATGCAAAAGAATCCAAAACACTAAAAAACATTTGAAAGAGGGGTACATGCCAGAAATTCAAAGGTTTCTAATATTAAAAATGCATTAATAAAATCCATTATATTAACAGAAGATTATATGTTCATTTTCATAACTGCTAAAAATTCAAGTGACATAATTCAACATCATACATAATTACCAAAATAAAAATTTTAACGTTTACATAGAAATTAAGAGGTATTTTTTAGCCTGAATACATATAGATATAGATATAGATATACAGATATATAGATATACACATGTGTCTGTACTTCCCAATTAGCCAGCAACTTACTAAATTGGAAATGTTAGGTACTTTCTCATTAAAATAAGGAATAAGACAAGGATGTCCACTATCTCTTCTATTATTTAATATCTTAAACAACACAAGTAAAGAAAACATTAGAGGCCAAAAATGGAAGAAAAAGAAGGAAAGTAATCTTTATTTGCAAGCAATATAATTTTTATATCAGGAAGGCAAAAACAAAAACAACCAATAAAAACCCTAAAATAATTCACAAGAGAATTATAAGCAATATGTAAAATAAATAAGAAGCAGACAACTTAATGTTTTCTCCTTCTCCTCCCACCATCCAAAAAAACCTGCTTAGTTAAAATAATCGAGAAGACTGTATAACGAAAAGTAAAATAAAATACCTAGGCCTGCATCTAGCAAAAAAAAAAAAAAAATGCAAAAAAAAATGTAAAATCAGAGAACAGAGGTAAAAGGATAATAAAAGAAAAAGATATACAAAAAGGGTAAGACCAAAGTGGTAAATAAAATCCCTCAAAATCTTTATCTTAAATTGGAATGAGGATAAATTTGGGATTCATGTTTTTCTCTCCAAAAATGCGTGTTTCCTACTCTACCCATGGAAAAAACTTAAAAACAATAAAACAGTAGTAATGAACACTCCTACCAGATTATGCTCCGTTATTAATACTATTTTTTAATAAAAAGTTTCTTTCAAGTATGGAAAAAAATGCATAAAATTTGTCTAGGATATGTTATTACTGAAAGTAAAAAAAATTACCGAGGATACGTTACTACTGAAAGTAATTATCAAAGATCCATGACTCAAAAGCTTCTTATGCACAACGTATAAAAAAATTGTACTAACGGCCTTCCCTCCCAAACTACGGCCTTCCCTCCCAAACTATCCCAGTGTTTAGCTAAAGACTGCATCAACTGCAAGGCTGAATGAAATGGCTACTGAATTTCTTTCCTTTTTTTTTTTTTTTTTGAGACAGAGTCTCACTCTGTAGCCCAGGCTGGAGTGCAGTGGCGCTGATCTCAGCTCACTGCAACCTCCGTGGTCAAGCGATTCTCCTGCCTCAGCCACCTGAGTAGCTGGGATTACACGCATGCGCCACCACGCCCAGCTAATTTTTGTATTTTTAGTAGAGATGGGGTTTCACCATGTTGGTCAGGCTGGTCTTGAACTCCTGACCTCGTGATCTGCCCATGTTGGCCTCCCAAAGTGCTGGGATTGCAGGCATGAGCCACCGCACCCAGCCTCTTTCCACCTCTTTATTTTGCTTTTCAGTTTTTAGGGACAGAAGTGGAGGTGAAAGCAAGTGCATCTTTTGGCTAAGAATACACATCTGAAGTAAGACCACTGGATTCACTAAATATAAAACTATGGGCAAATTAACTAATGCCTTTCTCAGAGTCTCAGTACTTTTTTTTAACTGATTATATATATTTATAATATAAAACATGATGCTTTGATACCTGTAGAATGGCTAAATCAAGCTATTTAACATATACATTACCTTACATACTTATCATTTCTTCTGGTACGAACACTTAAAATCTACTGTCTTAGCAATTTTCAAATATACAACATATTGTTATTAACTGCAGTCACCATGATTTACAAGTCTTTGAATTTATTCCTCCACTTTAAATAAATTTTTCTGTCTTTTAACCAACATCTCCCTAATTCCTCCCACACCCTAGCCTCTGATAATCAACATTTCACTGTTTCTATGAGGTCAACATTTTTACACTACACTTATAATAAGTAAGATCATGAGTATGTCTTTCTGTGCCTGACTTATTTCACTTAACATAATGTCCTACAGGTTGATCCATGATGTTGAGAATGACAGGATTTCCTTCTTTTGTTAAGGGTGAATGATATTTCACTGTGTATATATAACATGTTTTCTTCATCCATTCACCCATTAATGGACACTTAGATTGATTCCACATCTTGGCTATTGGAAATAACGCCACAATGAACATGGAAGTGATGGTAGTAGTGGGGCATCTGGAGTGGCCACTGCCATGATGCCAGCTGCAGTGTGGGAGGTAAGGCTGGAGCTTGTGGACTCCACAAAGCTGCAAGAGCCAGGAACAGGTGGAAGCCCTGCCCACTTCCAAGTTGAAGGGGCAGGAGCCCTACCCTCCTGGGTGCAGCTGCAGCCACCCAGCCACAGCTGCAGACCCAGGCATTTCTGCACTCTCAAGGGCCTAGGAAGACACTCCTGCAGTCTCGCAAGAGTCTGCTCCTGCTGCCTGGCCTCTCCCCACTCCTGGCACCCACTCTAATTTTGGAGCAACGTTGTGGCCAAGCCTGGGCACTGTCATGACATAGCTGGGTATGTGCACGCTTGGGGCAGTGCTGATACGCCAGCTCCATGCTGCCTCAGCCCCCTCCGGACTTTGTTTTTAAGTTTTGGTCTGCATTTTAGACTAACCCAGCTTGCTCTTGTGAACCAACCAGTGATTTCTGACTACGGCTCAGAAGAGACAAAAGGGATGCGTAATATAAAAAATCTGGATCAATATTCTAATTTTGAGCATGTGAGTAGCCTCAGGGTTTTTGAGCTGTCCTTACCCCTTTGTTTTGTTTTGATCCATGTCTTCCAATAACCCGGTTTGTCTCTTCTCGCCTTCGGGCCATCAAACTCCAAATGGTCATGCAAATGGAAACTTGGCTGATGGCTCCCTTTTACTTTTACTAGGGACCCTTAGATAGGGCCTCTAAGAAGACATAACTGCCATTTTCCCCATAAACAATGCCCCCTGTCAGCATGAAGCAGTTAAGAGCAGTCATTGTCCCTATCCTAATGGCAGCAGATGTACCTCTTCAGAGCAGGGACTGAAGGCAGCGGCAGCCTGTCTGGAATGGTGTCAATCAATCCCTGGCATCATCAATGACACCAGATGCAGTGGGGGAGGCACAGCTGGGGCTGTGCACTCCACGGAGCCAGCAGGAACCAAGAACAGGTGGAAGCTCCCAGCCCATTCCAAGTTAAACAGGTGGGAGCCCCGCCCCCCGGGCGCAGTTGTAGCCGTCAAGCTGTGGCTGCAAACCCGGGCATCTCTACACTCTTGGGGACCCAGGAAGCCCTGCTGACCCACAAGCTTGTAAGTGACTGCTCCTGCTGCCTAGCCTCTCCCCACTCCAAGCACCCACTACAAACACCCGCTCCAATTTTGAAGCAAAGTTGTGGCCAAGCCTGGGCACTGTCATGAATCAGCCAGGTGTGCACACATTCAGGGCAGCTATGACACACCAGCCCCCTCATGCCTTGGCCCCCTCCAGACTTTGGGTACCAAAGAGGATGGGAGAAAGGCTGACAGGGGGCTAAGAGTGGCTTGATGCAGGCCTGCAGGCAACATTCAGCACAAACAGCCTGGGCACCATGGGCACCGTGGATGGCAGGTTAATGGCAGCAGGAGGCAGACAGGCCTAGATGGAAAGGGGCAGGTACCTGGTGAAACCTCATCTTCAGGTCAGAGACAGCCTGAGGTTTGGGGACTGGACTGCCAGTGCCATGGACTGGAGGGAGAACTTCTGGTGCTTTTTCTGGGCCTGCCCATGGCTTTCCATGGACCAATCAGCATGCACTTCCTCCCCTCTGAAGCCCATAGAAACCCTGGACTCAGCCAAACTCAAGCAGATGACAGGACAATCTGCCAGCAGAAAAGAGCCACCCACTGAGGGTCTCCTCTCTGCTGAGAGCTGAGCAGATGATGGGACAACCTGCCTGTGGAGAGAAGCTACCCACTATGGGTCTCCTCTCTGCTGAGAGCTGAACACTTGTCAGGATGCCCTGCCTGCAGAGAGGAGCTACCCACTGTGGGTCTCCTTTAAGCTGTTCTGTCACTCAATAAAGGATCTCTTCACCTTGTTCACCCTCCACTTGTCCACATAACTCATTCTTCCTGGACACAGGACAAGAACTCAGGACCTGCGGAACGGCACGACTGAAAGAGCAGTAACACAAACAGGGCTGAAACACGCCCCTTGCTTGCCACGTTGCAGGTGACAAGAAGGAGAGAAGAGCTGTAGCACTTCAGGGAGCCCAGACTTAAGAGCTCCCCAAGCCAGAGCTGTGACACCCTCAATGGGGCTCTGCAGTTCCTGAAGTCTCCAAGCTTCCAGGCACCACTGCCTACCCCAGTGGCAGCCATGGAAGCTGCTTGCAGTAAGCCTCATTGAGCCACAGCCTTGCAGGGTGCCGGCACCTGGAGCTGTCCACCACACCACAACTAGTGTGCCTGGCTGTGTGCAGTGGCCAGATCACACGCTAACTCACACACCCCTCACCACTCCGTACCTGGCTCACCCTTGGCAGGCTGTTAGTGCGAGCAGAGTGTATCCTGCCAGGCAGAGTAGGCAGAACAAGCCAAGCAGGCCCAAGCAAAATTCAGACAAAGGCAATACCAGCCACAGAGGTTCCCAGCTAGAAAAGTAACACTCCAAGGATGCCGTGACAGAAATACAGGCATCTCTTTGAGATACTGATATGATTTCCTTTGGACATACACTAAATAGTAAAATTGTTGGATGACATGATAGTTCTACTTCTTATTTTTGAGATACCTCCATACTGTTTACAATTATGGCTGTAATACTAATTTACAACCCAACCAACAGTCTTCAAGGGTTCTCTTTTCTCCATAACCTTGCTAATACTTACCTTCGGTCTTTTTTAAAGTAGCCACTCTAACAGCTATAAGACAGTATCTCATTAGAGTTATAATTTGCATTTTCCTGATGATCAGTAATGTTCATCACTTTTTCATAAACCTGTTGGCCAATTATATGTCTTATTTTCAAAAATGTTTATATAGGTCCTTTGCATGTTTTTATATCAGATTGTTTTCTTACTTTCAAGTTCCTCATATATTCTGGATATTAATTCCTTATCAGACATATGGTCTCACATACTTTCTCCTTTTCCACAGGTTTTCTCTTCATTCTGTTTCCTTTGCTGTGCAGAAGCTTTTTAGTTTGATGTCATCCTATTTGTCTATTTGTACTTTTGTCGTCTGTGCTTTGGGGGTTATATCCAAAGTACGTGTGATCATACCAATGACAGAGAGCTTTTCTCCTATGATTTATTTACTACTTTCACAGTTTTAGGTCTTACATTTAAGCATTTAATCCATTTTGAGATGATTTATATATATATGATGTGAGATGGGAGTCTAATATTATTCTTCTGCAAGTGAACACCCAGTTTCCCTACGACCATTTATTGATGAGACTGCCCTTCCCCCATTGTGTGATCTTGGCGTTTTTATCAACAATCAATTGGCGATAAATGTGTGGATTTTTTTCTGGCTTTTCCATTCTATCCTGTAAGTCTGTGTGTCTGCTTTTATGCCAGCACCATGCTGTTTTGATTAACACAGCTTTGTAGTAGATTTTCAAAGCACGCACTATGAGGCCTCCAGTTTTATCCTTTTTACTCAACATTGCTCTAGCTATTTTGAAGTGTTTGTGATGTCATACAAATTTTAGGATTTTTTTTTTCTATTTCTGGGGAATATGTCATTGGAGTTTTTGACGGGGGTTGCATGGAATCTGTAGATAACTTTGGGAAGTAGAGACACTTTAACAATGTTCATCCTTTCAATTCATGAACATGGGATATCTTTCCTTTTATTTTATCTCCCTAAATTTCTTTCATAAATGGTTTATAGTTTTCTGCTTACAGAGTTTTTACCTCTTTGGGTAAATTTATACCTAATTTATTTTTGAAACTACTGTAAATAGGATTGTGTTCTCAATTTCCTTTTGAGGCAATTTGATGTTACTGTATAGAAATGCTACTAAAAATTGTATGTTGATTTTGTAATCTACAACTTTATGGAATTTATTAATCAATTTTAACAGGTTTTTGGTGGAGTCTTTAAGCTTTTCTATATATAAGGTTATGTTATCTATAAGGAAAGACAATTTTACTTCTTCCTTTCCAATTTGAATCCTTTTTATTTCTTTGACTTGCCTAACTGTTCTGGTTAGTACTTTCAGTACTGTGTTGAACAAAAGTGAGGGTGAGTACCCATGTCTTGTTCCTCATCTTAGGAAAAAGGCCTTCAACTTTTCAGTGCTGAGCATAATACTCACTATGGGCTTGTGGTATATTGTCTTTATTATGTTTAGAGGTAAATCTTTGATATGATTTGGCTTTGTGTCCCCACCCAAATCTCATCTCAAATTGTAATCCCTGTAATCCCTGGGTGTTGAGAAAGAGACCTGGTGGGAGGTGACTGGATCTTGGGCATGGATTCCCCTATGCTGTTCTCATGATAGTGAGTTCTCATAAGATCTTATGGTTTTATAAGGGGCTCTTCCCCCTTTGCTTCCATTACATGCTCTCTTGCCTGATGCCATGTAAGACATGCCTGCTTCCCCTTCTGCCATAATTGTAAGTTTCCTGAGGGCTCCACAAGCATGCAGAACTGTGAGTCAACTAAACCTCTTTTATTGATAAATTGCCCAGTATCGGACAGTTGTTTGTTTTTTTTTTTTTTTAAATACTTTAAGTTCTGGGATACATGTGCAAAACGTGCAGGTTTGTTACATAGGTATACATACACATGCTATGGTGGTTTGCTGCACCCATCAACCTGTCATCTACATTAGGTATTTCTCCTAATGCTATCCTTTCCCTAGCCCACAACCCCCAGACAGGCCCCAGTGTGTGATATTCCACGCCCTGTGTCCATGTGCTCTCATTGTTTGACTCCCATTTATGAGTGAGAACATGCAGTGTTTGGTTTTCTCTTTCTGTGTTAGTTATCTGAGAATGATAGTTTCCAGCTTCATCCACGTCCCTGCAAAGGACATGAACTCATCGTTTTTATGGCTCCATAGTATTCCATGATGTACATGTGCCAAATTTGATTTATCCAGTCTTTCACTGATGGACACTTGGGTTGGTTCTAAGTCTTTGCTATTGTGAATATTGCTGCAATAAACGTATGTGTGCATGTGTCCTTATAGTAGAATGATTTATAATCCTTTGGGTATATACCCAGTAATGGGACTGCTGGGTCAAGTGGTATTTCTGGTTCTAGATCCTTGAGGAATCACCAGTGTCTTCCACAATGGTTGAACTAATTCACACTCTGACCAACAGTGTAAAAGTGGTCCTATTGTTCCACATCCACTCCAGCATCTGTAGTTTCCTGACATTTTAATGATAGCCATTTTAACTGGCATGAGATGGTATCACATTGTGGTTTTGATTTGCATTTCTCTAGTGACGAAAGATGATGAGCTTTTTTCATATGTTTTTTGGCCACACAAATGTCTTCTTCTGGGAAATATCTGTTCTATCCTTCGCCCACTTCTTGACGGGGTTTTTTTTTTTTTCTTGTATATTTGTTTAAGTTTCTTCTAGATTCTGGATATTGGCCCTTTGTCAGATGGATGGATTGCAAAAATTTTCTCCCATTCTGTAGTCTGCCTGTTCACTGTGATGATAGTTTCTTTTGCTGTGCAGAAGCTCTTTACTTTAATTAGATCCCATTTATCAATTTTGGCTTTTGCTGCCATTGCTTTTGGTGTTTTAGACATGAAGTCCTTGCCCATGCCTATGTCCTGAATGGTATTGCCTAGGTTTTCTTCTAGAGTTTTTATGGTTTTAGGTCTTACATTTAAGTATTTAATCCATCTTGAGTTAATTTTTGTATGAGGTGTAAGGAAGGAGTCTAGTTTCACTTTTATGCATATGGCTAGCCAGTTTTCCCAACACCATTTATTAAATAGGGAATCGTTTCCCCATTGCTTTTGTCAAGTTTGCCAAAGATAAGATGGCTGTAGATGTGTGGTGATATGTCTAAGGACTCCATTCTGTTCCATTAGCCTATATATCTGTTTTGGTACCAGTAACATGCTGTTTTAGTTACTGTAGCCTTTGTAGTACAGTTTGAATTCAGGTAGCATGATGCCTCCAGCTTTGTTCTTTTTGCTTAGGATTGTCTTGGCTATATAGCCTCTTTTCTGGTTCCATATGAAATTTAAAGTAGTTTTTTCTAATTCTGTGAAGAAAGTTAATGGTAGCTTGATTGGGATAGCACTTAATCTATAAATTACTTTGGGCAGTATGGTCATTTTCACGATATTGATTCTTCTTATCCATGAGCTTGGAATGTTTTTCCATTTCTTTGTGTCCTCTCTTATTTCCTTGAGCAGTGGTTTGTAGTTGTACTTGAAGAGGTCCTTCACATCCCTTGTAAGTTGTATTCTTAGTGTTTTATTCTCTTTGTAGCAATTGTGAATGGGAGTTCACTCAAGATTTCACTCTCTGTTTCTCTATTATTGATGTATAGAAATTCTTGTGATTTTTGCACATTGATTTTGTATCCTGAGAGTTTGCTGAAGTTGCTTATCAGCTTAAGGAGATTTTGGGCTGAGACGATGGGGTTTTCAAAATATACAGTCATGTTATCTGCAAAGAGAGACAATCTGACGTCTTCTATTCCTATTTGAATACCCTTTATTTCTTTCTCTTGCCTGATTGCCCTGGCCAGAACTTCCAATACTATGTTGAATAGGAGTGGTGAGAGAGGGCATCCTTGCCTTGTGCCAGTTTTCAAAGGGAATGCTTCCAGCTTTTGCCCATTCAGTATTATATTGGCTGCGGGTTTGTCATAAATAGCACTTATTATTTTGAGATATGTTTCATCAATACCAAGTTTATTGAGAGTTTTTAGCATGAAGGCTCTTGAATTTTATCGGAGGCCTTTTCTGCATCTATTGAGATAATCATGTGGTTTTCATCGTTGCTTCGGTTTACATAATGGATTGTGTTTATTGATTTGCATAGGTTAAACCAGCCTTGCATCCCAGAGATAAAGCCGACTTGATTATGGTGGATAAGATTTTTGATGTGCTGCTGGATTCGGTTTGCCAGTATTTTATTGAGGATTTTTGCATTGATGTTCATATCAGGGATATTGGCCTG
Organism: Homo sapiens; assembly: GCF_000001405.40. Taxonomy (NCBI): domain Eukaryota; kingdom Metazoa; phylum Chordata; class Mammalia; order Primates; family Hominidae; genus Homo; species Homo sapiens. Next base: position 66,590,863 of record NC_000014.9, on the reverse strand, counting down.
AAATTTTCTTTTTTTGTTGTGTCTCTGCCAAGTTTTGGTATCAGGATGATACTGGTCTCAAAAAATGAGTTAGGGAGGATTCCTTCTCTTTCTCTTGTTTGGAACAGTTTCAGAAGGAATGGTACCAGCTCCTCTTTGTACTTCTGGTAGAATTTGGCTGTGAATCTGTCTGGTCCTGGGTATTTTTTGGTTGGTAGGCTATTAATTACTGCCTCAATTTCAGAACTTGTTATTGGTCTATTCAGGGATTCAACTTCTTCCAGGTTTAGTCTTGGGAGGGTGTATGCGTCCAGGAATTTATCCATTTCTTCTAGATTTTGCAGTTTATTTGAGTAGAGATGTTTATATCATTCTCTGATGGTAGTTTGTATTTCTGTGGGATCAGTGGTGATATCCCCTTTATCATTTTTATAATGTCTGTTTAATTCTTCTCTCTTTTCTTCTTTATTAGTCTGGCTTTCGATCTATTTTGTTAATCTTTTCAAAAAAGCAACTCCTGATTCATTGATTTTTTGAAGGGATTTTTGTGTCTCTAGCTCTCATCTTAGTTATTTCTTGTCTTCTGCTAGCTTTCGAATTTGTTTGCTCTTGCTTCTCTAGTTCTTTTATTGTGATGTTAGGGTGTCGATGTTAGATCTTGCCCGCTTTCTCCTGTGGGCATTTAGTGCTATAAATTTCCCTCTAAACACTGCTTTAGCTGTGTCCCAGAGATTCCTCTATGTTGTGTCTGTTTTCATAGGAATCAAAGAACTTACTGATTTCTGCCTTAATTTTGTTATTTACCCAGTAGTCATTCAGGAGCAGGTTGCTCAGTTTCCACGTAGTTACGCGGTTTTGAGTGAGTTTCTTAGTCCTGAGTTCTAATTTGATTGTACTGTGGTCTGAGAGACTATTATGATTTCCATTCTTTTGCATTTGCTGAAGAGTGTTTTACTTCCACTATGTGGTCAATTTTAGAATAAGTGAAATGTGGTGCTGAGAAGAATGTATATTCTGTTGGTTTCGGGTGGAGAGTTCTGTAGATGTCTATTAGGTCCGCTTGGTCCAGAGCTGAGTTCAAATCCTGAATATCCTTATTAATTTTCTGTCTCATTGAGCTGTCTAATATTGACAGTGGGGTGTTAAAGTCTCCCACTATTATTGTGTGGGAGTCTAAGTCTCTTTGTAGGTCTCTAAGAACTTGCTTTATGAATCTGGGTGCTCCTGTATTGGGTGCATATGTATTTAGGATAGTTAGCTCTTGTTGCATTGATCCCTTTACCATTATGTAATGGTAAAGCCCTTCTTTGTAAAAATGTAAAAAGCCCTTCTTTGTCTTTTTTTTTTATCTTTGTTGGTTTAAAGTCTGTTTTTTCAGAGACTAGGATTGAGATCAGTCTCCTAAATACAGCACATCAATGGGTCCTGACTCTTTATCCAATTTACCAGTCTGTGTATTTTAATTGGGGCATTTAGCCTGTTTACATTTAAGGTTATATAAATATTATGTGTGAATTTGATCCTGTCATTATGATGCTAGCTGGTTATTTTGCCCATTAGCTGATGCGGTTTCTTCATAGTGTCGAAAGACTTTACAATTTGGTATGTTTTTGCAGTGGCTGGTACCGGTTTTTTCTTCCCATATTTAGTGCTTCCATCAGGAGCTCTTGTGAGGAAGGCCTGGTGGTGACAAAATCTCTCAGCATTTGCTTGTCTGTAAAGGATTTTATTTCTCCTTTGCTTATGAAGCTTAATTTGGCTGGATATGCAATTCTGGGTTGAAACTTCTTTTTTTTCAGAAGGTTGAATATTGGCCCCCACTCTCTTCTGGCTTGTAGGATTTCTACTGAGAGATCCACTGTTAGTCTGATGGCCTTCCCTTTGTGGGTAACCTGACCTTTCTCTCTGGCTGCCCTTAACATTTTCTCCTTCATTTCAACCTTGATGAATCTGACGATTATGTGTCTTGGGGTTGCTCTTCTCTAGTAGTATCTTTGTGGTGTTCTCTGTATTCCCTGAATTTGAATGTTGGCCTGTCTTGCTAGGTTGGGAAAGTTCTCCTGGATAATATCCTGAAGAGTGATTTCCAGTGTGGTTCCATTCTCCCTGTCACTTTCAGGTACACCAATCAAACATAGGTTTGGTCTTTTCACATAGTCCCATATTTCTTGGAGGCTTGTTTCCTTTTCATTCTTTTTTCTCTAATCTTGTCTTCACACTTTATTTCATTAAGTTGATCTTCAATCTCTGATATCATTTCTTCCGCTTGATCGATTCGCCTATTGATACTTGTGTATGCTTCACAAAGTTGTTGTGCTGTTTTTCAGCTCCATAAGGTCACTTATGTTCTTCTCTAAACTGGTTACTCTAGTTAGCAATTCATCTAACTTTTTTTCAAGGTTCTTAGCTTCTTGCATTGGGTTAGAACAGCTCTTTTAGCTCAGAGAAGTTTGTTATTACCCACCTTCTGAAGCCTAATTTTGTCAATTCATCAAACTAATTCTCATTCCAGTTTTGTTCCCTTGCTGGCAAGGAGTTGTGATACTTTGGAGGAGAAGAGGCATTCTGGTTTTTGGAATTTTCAGTCTTTTGTGCTGGTTCCTCCTCAACTTCGTGGATTTCTCTATCTTTGTTCTTTGATGTTGGTGACCTTAGGATGGGGTCTCTTGGTGGACATCCTTTTTGTTGATGTTGATGCTATTCCTTTCTGTTCATTAGTTTTCCTTCTAACAGTCAGGCCCCTCTGCTGAAGGTCTGCTCTAGTTTGCTGGAGGTCCACTCCAGACCCTGTTTGCCTAGGTATCACCAGCGGAGGCTGCAGAACAGCAAAGATTGCTACCTGTTCCTTCCTCTGGAAGCTTCGTCCCAGAGGGGCACCTGGCAGATGCCACCCGGAGCTCTCCTGTATGAGGTGTCTGTCAACCCTTGCTGGGAGGTGTCTCCCAGTCAGGAGGCATGAGGGTCAGGGACCCACTTGAGGAGGCAGTCCATCCCTTAGCAGAGCTCGAATGCTGTGCTGGGGGATCTGCTGCTCTCTTCAGAGCTGGCAGGCAGGAACATTTAAGTCTGCCGAAGCTGCACCCAGAGCCGCCCATTCCCCCAGGTGCTCTGTCCTAGGGAGATGGGAGTTTTATCTATAAGCACTGGGGCTGCTCTCCTACAGTTCTTTATAGTAATGTCAGAATGGACTAATATAATCTTCTTTACTTAATATTTTAGATTTTGTCAAATGCCTCTTCTGCATCTATTCAGATAGCCATATTTTTGTCCTTCTTTTTGTTAATGTAGTGTATGACCTCCACTGATTTGCATAAGTTGAACCAAACTTGCATCCCAGAAATAAATCCAACTTGATCATGACAACAGATCCTTATAATGTGTTACTGAATTTAATTTGCTAGTATTTTATTGAGAATATCTGCATCTGTTTATCAGGAATATTGGCTGGTAATTTTTTCTTATAATATACTTGTTTGTCTATGGTATCAGGGTCATACAGGCCTCTTAAAATAGTTTGAAAGATTTATCTACTCCTCAATTTTTTGGAAGAATTTCAGAAGCATTGGTATTACTTCTTCTTTAAATGTTTGTAAAGTTCAGATGTGAAACCATCAAGTCCTGAACTTTTTCACATAAGAGCTATTTTTTATTATTGACTTAATCTCCTTACTTGTTATTATGTAAAGCTTTTCTATTTCTTCATGATTCATTCTTGGTAGTTGTACATTTCCAGGATCTCATCCATGTGTTTTAGGTTATGTAATTTGTTTGTGTATAACTGTTCACAGTAGTCTCTTGTCATCTGTATTTCTGTGGTATCTCCTGTATTGCCTACTCTTTCATTTTTTATTTTATATATTTCAGTCTTCTGTCATTTTTCTTAGTTAAAAGTTTGTCAACTGTTTATCTTCTGAAAAAATCAATTCTGTTTTGTTCATCTTTCCTATTGTTTTACAGTCTCTATTTCACTTATTTCTGTTCTGACCTTTGTTTTTTTCTTTGCTACTATAAACTAGGGATTTATATTGTTGTTTTTTCTAGTCCTTTGAGGTTCAGCATTAGACTGTTTTAGTGGGATCTTTCTTATTTTTGATCTGTGTGTTTATTGCTATAAACTTCTCTTAGAAATGCTTTCGTTGCAGAAACTCTACAAGCCAGAAGAGAGTGGGGGCCAATATTCAATATTCTTAAAGAAAAGAATTTTCAACCCAGAATTTCATATCCAGCCAAACTAAGCTTCATAAGTGAAGGAGAAATAAAATCCTTTACAGATAAGCAAATGCTGAGATATGTTGTCACCACCAAGCCTGCCCTACAAGAGCTCCTGAAGGAAGCACTAAATATGGAAAGGAACAACTGGTACCACCCACTGCAAACACATGCCAAACTGTAAAGACCATCAAGGCTAGGAAGAAACTGCATCAACTAACGAGCAAAATAACCAGCTAACATCATAATGACAGGATCAAATTCACACATAACAATACTAACCTTAAATGTAAATGGGCTAAATGCTCCAATTAAAAGACACAGACTGGTAAACTGGATACAGAGTCAAGACCCATCAGTGTGCTGTATTCAGGAAATCCATCTCACATGCAGACACACATAGGCTCAAAATAAAGGGATGGAGGAAGATCTACCAAACCAATGGAAAACAAAAAAAGGAAGGGGTTGCAATCCTAGTCTCTGATAAAACAGACTTTAAACCAACAAAGAGCAAAAGAGACAAAGAAGGCCATTACATAATGGTAAAGGGATCAATTCAACAAGAAGAGCTAACTACCCTAAATATATATGCACCCAATACAGGAGCACCCAGATTCATAAAGCAAGTTCTTAGTGACCTACAAAGAGACTTAGAATCCCACACAATAATAATGGGAGACTTTAACACCCCACTGTCAACATTAGACAGATCAACGAGACAGAAAGTTAACAAGGATATCCAGGAATTGAACTCAGCTCTGCACCAAGCAGACCTAATAGACATCTACAGAACTCTCCACCCCAAATCAACAGAATATATATTCTTCTCAGCACCACACCACACCTATTCCAAAATTGACCACATAGTTGGAAGTAAAGCACTCCTCAGCAAATGTAAAAGAACAGAAATTATAACAAACTGTCTCTCAGACCACAGTGCAATCAAACTAGAACTCAGGATTAAGAACCTCACTCAAAACTGCTCAACTACATGGAAACTGAACAACCTGCTCCTGAATGACTACTGGGTACATAACGAAATGGAGGCAGAAATAAAGATGTTCTTTGAAACCAACGAGAACAAAGACAAAACATACCAGAATCTCTGGGACACATTTAAAGCAGTGTGTAGAGGGAAATTTATAGCACTAAATGCCCACAAGAGAAAGCAGGAAAGATCTAAAATTGACACCCTAACATCACAATTAAAAGACCTAGAGAAGCAAGAGCAAACACATTCAAACGCTAGCAGAATGCAAGAAATAAATAAGATCAGAGCAGAACTGAAGGAAATAGAGACACAAAAAACGCTTCAAAAAATCAATGAATCCAGGAGCTGGTTTTTTGAAAAGATCAACAAAATTGATAGACCGCTAGCAAGACTAATAAAGAAGAAAAGAGAGAAGAATCAAATAGACGTGACAAAAAATAACAAAGGGGATATCATCACCGATCCCACAGAAATACAAACTACCATCAGAGAATACTATAAACACCTCTACACAAATAAACTAGAAAATCTAGAAGAAATGGATAAATTCCTGGACACATACACCCTCCCAAGACTAAATCAAGAAGAAGTTGAATCTCTGAATAGACCAATAACAGGCTCTGAAACTGAGGCAATAATTAATAGCTTACCAACCAAAAAAAGTCCAGGACCAGATGGATTCACAGCCAAATTCCACCAGAGGTACAAGGAGGAACTGGTACCATTCCTTCTGAAACTATTCCAATCAATAGAAAAAGAGGGAATCCTCCCTACCTCATTTTAAGAGGCCAGCATCATCCTGATACCAAAGCCGGGCAGAGACACAACCAAAAAAGAGAATTTCAGACCAATATCCTTGATGAACATTGATGCAAAAATCCTCAATAAAATACTGGCAAACCGAATCCAGCAGCACATCAAAAAGCTTATCCACCATGATCAAGTGGGCTTCATCCCGGGGATGCAAGGCTGGCTCAACATACGAAAATCAATAAATGTAATCCAGCATATAAACAAAACCAAAGACGAAAACCACATGATCATCTCAATAGATGCAGAAAAGGCCTTCCACAAAATTCAACAACCCTTCATGCTAAAAACTCTCAATAAATTAGATATTGATGGGACATATCTCAAAATAATAAGAGCTATCTATGACAAACCCACAGCCAATATTATACTGAATGGACAGAAACTGGAAGCATTCCCTTTGAAAACTGGCACAAGACAGGGATGCCCTCTCTCACCACTCCTATTCAACATAGTGTTGGAAGTTCTGGCCAGAACAATCAGGCAGGAGAAGGAAATAAAGGGTATTCAATTAGGAAAAGAGGAAGTCAAATTGTCCCTGTTTGCAGATGACAAGATTGTATAACTAGAAAACCCCATCGTCTCAGCCCAAAATCTCCTTAAGCTGATAAGCAACTTCAGCAAAGTCTCAGGATACAAACTCAATGTGCAAAAAATCACAAGCATTCTTATACACCAATAACAGACAAACAGAGAGCCAAATCATGAGTGAACTCCCATTCACAATTGCTACAAAGAGAATAAAATACCTAGGAATCCAACTTACAAGGGATGTGAAGGACCTCTTCAAGGAGAACTACAAACCACTGCTCAATGAAATAAAAGAGGTTACAAACAAATGGAAGAACATTCCATGCTCATGGGTAGGAAGAATCAGTATCGTGAAAATGGCCATACTGCCCAAGGTAATTTATAGATTCAATGCCATCCCCATCAAGCTACCAATGACTTTCTTCACAGAATTGGAAAAAACTACTTTAAAGTTCATATGGAACCAAAAAAGAGCCCGCATTGCCAAGTCAATCCTAAGCCAAAAGAACAAAGCTGGAGGCATCACGCTACCTGACTTCAAACTATACTACAAGGACACAGTAACCAAAACAGCATGGTACTGGTACCAAAACAGAGATATAGACCACTGGAACAGAACACAGCCCTCAGAAATAATGCCGCATATCTACAACTATCTGATCTTTGACAAACCTGACAAAAACAAGCAATGGGGAAAGGATTCCCTATTTAATAAATGCTGCTGGGAAAACTGGCTAGCCATATGGAGAAAGCTGAAACTGGATCCCTTCCTTACACCTTATACAAAAATTAATTCAAGATGGATTAAAGACTTACATGTTAGACCTAAAACCGTAAAAACCCTAGAAAAAAACCTAGGCATTACCATTCAGGACACAGACATGGGCAAGGACTTCATGTCTAAAACACCAAAAGCAATGGCAACAAAAGCCAAAATTGACAAATGGGATCTAATTAAACTAAAGAGCTTCTGCACAGCAAAAGAAACTACCATCAGAGTGAACAGGCAACCTACAGATTGGGAGAAAATTTTTGCAACCTGCTTATCTGACAAAGGGTTAATATCCAGAATCTTCAATGAACTCAAACAAATTTACAAGAAAAAAACAAACAACCACATCAAAAAGTGGGCAAAGAATATGAACAGACACTTCTCAAAAGAAGACATTTATGCAGCCAAAAAACACATGAAAAAATGCTCATCATCACTGGCCATCAGAGAAATGCAAATCAAAACCACAATGAGATACCATCTCACACCAGTTAGAATGGCAATCATTAAAAAGTCAGGAAACAACAGGTGCTGGAGAGGATGTGGAGAAATAGGAACACTTTTACACTGTTGGTGGGATTGTAAACTAGTTCCACCATTGTGGAAGTCAGTGTGGCGATTCCTCAGGGATTTAGAACTAGAAATACCATTTGACCCAGCCATCCCGTTACTGGGTATATACCCAAAGGATTATAAATCATGCTGCTATAAAGACACATGCACATGTATGTTTATTGCGGCACTATTCACAATAGCAAAGACTTGGAACCAACCCAAATATCCAACAATGATAGACTGGATTAAGAAAATGTGGCACATATACACCATGGAATACCATGCTGCCATAAAAAATGATGAGTTCATGTCCTTTGTAGGGACATGGATGAAGCTGGAAACCATCATTCTCAGCAAACTATCGCAAGGACAAAAAACCAAACACTGCATGTTCTCACTCATAGGTGGGAATTGAACAATGAGAACACATAGACACAGGAAGGGGAACATCACACACTGGGGACTGTTGTGGGGTGGGGGGAGAGGGGAGGGATAGCATTAGGAGATATACCTAATGCTAAATGATGAGTTAATGGGTGCAGCACACCAACATGGCACATGTATACATATGTCACAAACCTGCACATTGTGCACATGTACCCTAAAACTTAAAGTAAAATAAAATAAAATAAAATAAAATGCTTTTGTTGCATCCCATAATTTTTGTTATGTAGTATTTTCATTTGTCTCAAGATATTTTTAATTTCCCTTTAATTTCCCATTTCAGTTTTACTCTTGGTTGTTTAGGGCCAAGTAAGTTTGTGCAAATTTATAAATGTTGCAATATTCCTTCTGTTATGAATTCTATTTTCATACCATTGTGACTGGAGATGATATTTGGCATAATTTCAATCTTCTTAAATTTGTTGAGATTTATTTTCTGGTCTGACTTACGATCTATCCTGGGGAAGTTTCCAAAATGCTCGAGAAAAATGTGGATTCTGCTACTGTTGGATAGAAGGCTGAAATGCTCTATATACGTCTGTTACATTTGGTCTAAGATGTAGTTCAAGTTCTATATCATTTTTTGTCTGGATGATCTGTTCATTATTTAAAGAGGCATACTAAAGTCTACTACACTATATTGCAGTCTATCTCATTCTTCAGATTTATTAACATTTACTTTATATATTTAGGTACTCTGATGTTGGGTGCAGATATATTTACAATTGTTATATCTTCTTCATAAATTGACCCCTTTACATTATATGACCTTTTCTGTGTCTCTTTTTATAATTTTTATTTAAATTCTATTTCATCTGATATAAGTATAGCTACTCCTGCTTTCTTTTGGTTTCCATCAGCATGGATTATCTACTTCTATCCTGTCACATTCAATCTGTATGTGCCCTTAAAGGTGAGAGTGATTCTCTTATAGGCAGAACATACTTGGGTCTTATTTTCTGATTGATTCAGTCACTATCTTTTCTTTGAAGAATTTAATCTATTAATATTCAAGGTAATTATTTATAGGTAAGGATTTACTATTGCTATATTGTTCATTGTTTTCCGGTTGTTTTGTAATTCTTTCTTCCTTTCTTGCTGTCTTCCTTTATGGTTAGAGGATTTTCTCTAGTGCTATGCTCTGATTCCCACTTTTTATCTTA